>NC_000017.11:7612323-7763838 GCF_000001405.40 Homo sapiens
AAGCTATTTCAACAAAGGTAATGCAAGTTTGGGGAAAAGGATATGAGAGACAAATGTGCTCTATCAAAAGCAGAAAGGAATTAGAGACTTTTGCCAAAGAAAACAGAAATGCTATGGAGGCAGGCTAGAAGAAAAAGTCCCAAGAGTTAGGCAAGTATGCACAAAATGACAAAAAGAGATCAGCAGGGAGCTTCCTTCAGCTAGACAGGGAATAAGGTGATTCCTGGGGATTACACAGGAATACAGAAATATTAGGAGAAAAAGCTAAAAACTTGAATTGAGAAGGTAAGTTAGACATGGGTACCCACAGTCACCGCAGAGAAATAAATCTGATGAGGGAAGTAAGGCAAAAATGGGTAAGTATGAAGAGTGAGTAAAAAATGACTACAATGGCCGGGCGCGGTGGCTCACGCCTGTAATCCCAGCACTTTGGGAGGCCGAAGCAGGTGGATCACTAGGTCAGGAGATCGAGACCATCCTGGCTAACACAGTGAAACCCCGTCTCTACTAAAAATACAAAAAAATAGCCGGGCATGGTGGTGGGCACCTGTAGTCCCAGCTACTCGGGAGGCTGAGGCAGGAGAATGGCGCGAACCAGGGAGGCGGAGCTTGCAGTGAGCCAAGATCGCACCACTGCACTCCAAGCCTGGGCAACAGGGCGAGACTCCATCTCAAAAAAAAAAAAAAAAAAAAAAAAAATGACTACAATGCACTTAGCAACTGAAGTACAGGCAGAAACCACCCAAGAGAAATTACAAGACCCTCTGCAGTTATAGAAAAATATGACTTAGAGAAGGAGTCAAAGAAAGACATTTCCAAGGGCATGAGAAACTAGAGAGGACTACAGTGGGGGAAAAAGGCCTGAGGGGAACTGAAGGAAAGGGGGAAGGGGGATCCACTCTTAACAAGTGATGCCATGGGAAGGTATCTCTTCCCCAGCTCCCCAGGGTGAAATCAAAGAATGAGACAGAAATCAGGAGAGTCTCTAGGACAATTCCAGGCATCAAATCCAAGAGGTTCAGAATACCAACAGTCACACAAAGAAAAACTCTTGGGAGGCAAGAAAGGGCTCTCTCTGGCTTAATCTAAATGGGAAAAAAATGTCCTAGAAAATAGATTCAGAGCAGATAAGGAAGGTGGTATTATAAGGAGTTCTAAGGAACCAAATCCTGGGCAAAGGGGGAGGTGAAATAAGGAAGGGTCTTTGAAAGATGATCCCGTCTTCCAAAAAAGGTTGTCAGATTCCCGAACTGGGATAGTTGGCCAAGAGTCTTCAAGAAGTGGAAATCTTAAGATAAACAGAAGGGAACCTCATAAGCTTCCTTTCAGAGATCCTTTTAGAGATTATGACTATGAAGCTTACATGCCTCAAGACGAAGAAACTATATGAATGACCTGAAGGTATCTGAGGTCTAAGTGAGACCTCAAATCCATTCCTGAGTAGAATGGTAGAGCAGTGGGTCTTGAGATCAAGGTGTGGTGGGGAGAGAGACTTGCGAAAGATGCCACCTTATGGCTGGCTGGGAAGCAACTTGACTGATCCAACCCAGGGTTCCTGAGGTCAAAGATGCCAAACGTCGTAAATGGATCTGACCATTTCTCCTTGGCTTGGGAACCGGAATATAAGATGAAAGTGGGGTGAGTGTTCCAGAGCCAGTAGGCAGAGGCCTCTCTGAGGAAGATGAAAGGATCTTTTACGGGACAGAGGGCCTTCCCAAAGGGACCGTGTGGAAGAAAGACAATTCTCCATGTGCTTGGATCGTGGGGAAGATGTGATTAAGGTCTAAGGTATGTCTTCCACCAGACAACGGACACAGTCAATTAGAAGCTGGGTAAAGGGGTCTCTCCTGCGGAGCGGGGAGCGCCAAGCCAGGGACAATAATGGCCTGAAGTTCATTCTCCCGGAGATGGGGGTAGAAGCAGGTGCAGGTGCCTTAGAGGGGTCAAAAATAAGAGGAACAGGGTTCACTCTAAGCGGTCTCCCAGGGAAGGCTGCGGGTTGGAGCAAGGGTCCAAGATTCTAAGGGCCAGGACTCAGCTCCAGAAGCTCGATCCCGCCCCACGCGTTCCTGCTCCGGCCAGGGGAGGGGGCTAAGGACCGGCGTCCCCAGTCGGCGCGCCGTCTCACCTTGTAGAAGGCCCCGTTGGAGCCGCGCACCTCGACGGGCAGTCCCGGCTCCACATCCCCCCCAGAGGCCAGGCCGCCCATGGCGCCGCCACCGCCTCCGACTCCCCCGGCGGCGGCTGCAGCAGCAGTCTGAGTGCGGGCCGGGCCAGGCCCCCGGCGTCTCCCCGGAGGAGGAGCCGGAGGGGGAGCCGCGGGGGGCGGGAGCCGGGCCGGCCCCACGGCGGCCCTGCCACAGCCAACGAGCAGGGGGCCGGGGCCGGGCCGCTCCCCGTCCGCCGCCGCCGCCTTGGTCTCCGCCACCGTGAGGGAAACGGCCGCCGCCGCCGCTGCCTTCGTCACCTCAGCTTCCGCCCGCCGCCGCCCCCGCTGCTGCCTCAGTCCCGGGACCCGCTGCTGCCGCTGCCGCTCCACAGCCTCCACCTCCCCCTGCCACCGCCGCCTACTGCGCAGGCGCACCGGGCACCCGCCCGCTGCGCGCGGGGCCCCGAGGGCCACCGCGCAGGCGTCAAGGTTAGAGCCCCAGCTAGCGCCAGCTAGCGCATCGGGGCTTCCACATTCCCTTTCACTCTCTCACTCCCCCTCCTGGTCGCTTGCTAGCGCTTGCGCAGAACAAGATTAGCCTTCTTTCTTCACCGCTCCACCGCCCAGCCACCCCGTCTCTTCCTTTCCCCGCCCCACAACACTGAGAACCAACCAATCAGGGGGAGGGAGGGGCCGGGCTCGCTCAGTCCGATTGGGCGGCGTCCGCACAGTCACACAGCGCTCAGGCCACACCCACTCCGCCGCCGCTGGCCCCACCGGGCTTGGACAAGTTAGGGATGGGCATGCGCCTGAACGACTGCTTGGTCACTTTCCCCACCTTTGTCTTTCTTGGTGCGCACGCTCCAAAAAGAAAAAAAAAAGAAGAGGAGTCGCCGCAAGGAAAAAGGTGCTTGGTGCGCACGCGCTGAGCTTTACCCTCTTCGCGTATGCATCGCCGATATTTTAAGAATCTGTAACTCTCTACTGTAGTAGATTTAACAGTCATGGCTCTTACCTTGAAGAGATTGTGATACAATGAAAGTTTTGGCCGGGCGCGGTGGCTCACGCCTGTAATCCCAGCGCTCTGGGAGGCCGAGGCAGGTGGATCACCTGAGGTCCTCGGATCACCTGAGGTCAGGGGTTCGAGACCAGCGTGGCCAAAATGGTGAAACCCACCCCCCCCCCCACCCCGCATCTAATAAAATACAAAAATTAGCCGGGCGTGGTGACACGCGCCTGTAATCCCAGATACTCGGGAGGCTGAGGCAGGAGACTACCTTGAACCTGGGAGGCAGAAGTTGCAGTGAGCCAAGATCGCACCATTGCACTCCAGCCTGGGCGACAGAGCAAGACTCAGTCTCAAAAAAAAAAAAAAAAGAAAGAAAGAATAGAAAGAAAGCTTTAAGAATAGTTTCAGACGGGCGCTGTGGCTCACTCCTGTAATCCCAGCACTTTAGGAGGCTCAGGCGGTGGATCACTTGAGCCCAAAAGTTTGACACCAGCCTCAACAGGGCGAAACCCTGTTTCTACTAAAAATACAAAAATTAGGACGGGCGCGGTGGCTCAGGCCTGTAATCCCAGCACTTTGGGAGGCCGAGATCACGGGCGGGCGGATCACGAGGTCAGGAGATGGAGACCATTCTGGCCAACATGGTGAAACCTCGTCTCTACTAAAATACAAAAAATTAGCCGTGGTAGTTCCAGCTACTCGGAAGGAGTCCCAGCTACTCAGGAGGCTGAGGCAGGAGAATCGCTTGAACCTAGGAAGGTGGAGGTTGCAGTGAGTGGATATCATGCCACCACACTCCAGCCTGGGCAATGAGTGAAATTTCTTCTTTAAAAATAATAATAATGGCAGGGCGCGGTGGCTCATGCCTATAATCCCAACACTTTGGGAGGCCGAGACGGGCGGATCACGAGGTCAGGAGATCGAGACCATCCTGGCTAACACGGTGAAACCCCATCTCAACTAAAAATACAAAAAAAAAAAAAAAAAAAAAAAATTAGCTGGGCGTGGTGGCGGGCGCCTGTAGTCCCAGCTACTCGGGAGGCTGAGGCAGGAGAATGGCGTGAACCCAGGAGGCGGAGGTTGCAGTGAGCGGAGATCGTGCCACTGCACTCCAGCTGGGGCGACAGAGCGAGACTCCATCTCAACAACAACAACAACAAATAATAATAATAGTGGCCCGGCGCGGTGGCTCACGCCTGTAATCCCAGCACTTTGGGAGGCCAAGATGGGTGGATCACAAGGTCAGGAGTTCAAGACCAGCCTGGCCAACATGGTGAAACCCCATCTCTACTAAAAATACAAAAATTAGCTGGGCATGGTGGTGCATGCCTGTAAACCCAGCTACTTGGGAGGCTGAGGCAAGAGAATTGCTTGAACCTGGGAGGCAGAGGTTGCAGTGAGCCCAGATTGTGCCATTGCACTCCAGCCTGGGCAAAAAGAGCGACACTCTGTCTCAAAAAATAGTAATAATAATAATAAATAATGCTGGGGAAATTCAAAATAGGAAAAACTGTCATGAAATAAGGGTAGTAGCAGGAAAACTTCACATTCTGGGAGTTGTCCTATGTTCCATCCACTTCTTGGATTAGAGTAAATGGTAATGCCAATCATGGAAGAGATAACATAGGAGATAAAGGTTTAGAAAATAAGGTGATGAATTTACTTTTATTTTTTTTTTGCCCTTTGAGCTTAGCCACCACATCTGGCTAATTTTTAAATTTTTGTATTTAATGGTGGAGACAAACAGACTTGGAAGTCTCTGACTTCATAGTGTGATGGCAGAAGAAAGACACTGGAAAAATTATTAATATTTATAATAATTATTAATATTGCAACCATGGCCAGGCACAGGGCTCATGCCTGTAATCCCAGCACTTTGGGAGGCTGAGGCGGGTGGATCACCTGAGGTCACCTGAGGTCAGGAGTTCAAGACCAGTCTGGTGAAATTCCATCTCTACTAAAAATACAAAAATTAGCTGGGCATGGTGGCACGCGCTTGTAGTCCCAGCTACTCGGGAGACTGAGGCAGGAGAATCGCTTGCACCCAGGAGGCAGAGGTTGCAGTGAGCCAAGATTGTGCCACTGCACTCCAGCCTGGGTGACAGAGCGAGACTCCATCTCAAAAAATTAAAATAAAAAACAAAAATAAATAAAGGCGATAGAAGAAAGGAAAATAAAGTATAAGAAAATTAAAGGATTAGTCCATGGGATACAACATCTGAATAACCAGAATTCCAGAAAGTGATAACAGAAATAATTATCTGGAAAGGATAAAATCATCTAAAATCAATAGTAATAATTATTCAACAAAATTTTCCAAGGCCAGGTGTGGTGGCTCATGCCTGTAATCCTGGCACTTTGCGAGGCTGAAGCAGGCAGATCACTTGAGCTCGGGCGTTCAGGAGCAGCCTGGGCAACATGGCGAAACCCTTTCTCTACCAAAACTACAAAAATTAGCTGGGTGCGGCGGCTCACGCCTGTAATCCCAGCACTTTGGGATGCCGAGGTGGGTGGATCATCTGAGGTCAGGAGTTTGAGACCAGCCTGGCCAACATGGTGAAACCCCATCTCTACTAAAAATATAAAAATTAGCCACACGTGGTAGCGTGTGCCTGTAATCCCAACTACTCAGGAAGCTGAGGGAGGAGAATCTCTTGAACTTGGGAGGCTGAAGTTGCAGTGAGCCGAGATCACACCACTGCACTACATACAGCCTGGGTGACAGAGAAAGATTCTGTCTCAAAAAAAAAAATTATTTCCAACCTCGTTTCCTATACCTAGCCACACTCTCAATATTTTTTTGTTGTTGAGATAGAGTCTTACTCTGCCACTCAGACTGGAGTGCAGTGGTATGATCTCGGCTCACTGCAACCTCTGCCTCCCAGGTTCCAGTGATTCTCTTGCCTCAGCCTCCTGAGTAGCTGTGATTATAGGTGCCCACTGCCACAGCTGGCTAGGTTTGTTTTTTTTGTTTTTGTTTTTGTTTTTGTTTTTTTTGTATTTTTAGTAAAGACGGGGTTTCACCACGTTGGCCAGGCTGGTCTCAAACTCCTCACCTCAGGTGGGTCACCCACCTCGGCTGCCCAAAGTGTTGGGATTATAGGCATGAGCCACTGCGCCCGGCCCACACTCTCAATTAAGTGCAGTAATAGAACAGACATTTTCAGGCTTTTAAGTTCCCAACAAATTTACCTCCCGGTACTCTTTCTCAAAAAGCTCCATCAAAATAAGAAGAGTAAACATAGAAAGAGGAAACACAGGTTCCAGGAAACAGGACGTCAACACAAGAGAGAGGCAAAGGGGATCCCCAGGATAAAGGTGAAGGGAGATCCCAATTGCGCAGCCTCAAGATCGCCTCTCTGGACTGGAGCAGGTCTAAGAGCTTTTTGAGAAAGTTCTTCAAAATGACGTAGATTGAAATCCCTAAGTGTTTGTATATCCTTATAAGAGATTAATTAAGGGAGAATTTGGGGATAAATTAGAGTACACAGGAAACTAAGCAAACAGAGAGGACAAGGCAGTTATTAATTCCAGGGAAAACAAAAATGGTACAGGAAAGAAAAAGAATTGTAACTATCCACATGGATCATACGTGTATTCGTATAATCATAATAATCATAATAATGAGGCCAGGCATGGTGGCTCACACCTGTAATCCCAGCATTTTGGGAGGCCGAGGTGGGCAGATCACCTGAGGTCAGGAGTTCAAGACCAGCCTGACCAACATGGAGAAACTCCATCTCTACTAAAAATACAAAATTAGCCAGGTGTGGTGGCACATGCCTGTAATCCCAGCTACTCGGGAGGCTGAAGCAGGAGAATTGCTTGAACCTAGCAGGCAGAGGTTGCAGTGAGCCAAGATCGCGCCATTGCACTCCAGCCTGGGCATTAAGGGTGAAACTCCATCTCAAAAAAAAAAAAAAATCATAATAATGTAAATGCTAAGGCTGGTGCGGTGGCTCATGCCTGTAATCCCAGCACTTTGGGAGGTCAAGATAGGCGGATCATGAGGTCAGGAGTTCGAGACCAGCCTGACCAACATGGTGAAACCCCATCTCTACTAAAAATACAAAAATTAGCCAGGCATGGTGGCATGCACCTGTAATCCCAGCTACCCAGGAGGCTGAGGCAGGACAATTGCTTGAACCCGGGAGGCAGAGGTTGCCTCTGCATGAGCCGAGATCATGCCATTGCACTCCAGCCTGGGCAACAAGAGCGGAACTTCGTCTCAAAAAAAAAAAAAAAAAGTAAACACTAAACACAGGAGGATGGGAAGTGGAGGTGGGATGATAAGCAGATTGGAAAAATAGTGCTTCTCTTTTTTTAACCTCAGTGATCCGTGTTCTGAAGGGCTAGCTTTTCATCCTCAACAGTGCAAAGCCAATAGCTAATGCCTAAACAAAAAACACTGGAGTGCAGTGGCTCAAACATGCCCCACTTCAGCCTCAACCTTAAGAAGTAAGGCCAAGAGCAGTGGCACATGCCTGTAATCCCAGCCCTTTGGGAGGCCAAGGCAAGAGGATCAGTTAAGGCCAGAAGTTCATGGTTACAGTGAGCTATGATCGTGCCACTGTACTCCAGTCTAGGCAACAGAAAAAGACCCTGTCTCTAAAAAAGTAAAGACTCCTTATCCCTCTCCAAAAAAAAAAAAAAATTGAAAAAATTGAAAAAGAAAAAGAGACATCAAGAAGTGGTAATACTGGCCAGGCGTGGTGGCTCACACCTGTAATCCTCCCTCCTTTGGGAGGCCAAAGTGGGAGGATTGCTTGAGCTCTGGAGTCCAATACTAGCCTGGACAACATAGTGAGACCTAGTCTCCAATAAAAAATTTGTTGTTTGTTTGTTTGTTTTTTGAGACAGAGTCTTACTCTGTTGCCTAGGCTAGAGTGCAGTGGCACGATGTTGGCTCACTGCAACCCCTGCCTCCCGGGTTCAAGAGATCCTCCTGCCTGAGCCTCCCAAGTAGCTTGGATTACAGCCGTTTGCCCCCACATCTGGCTAATTTTTGTATTTTTAGTAGAGACGGGTGGGGTTTCACCATGTTAGCCAGGCTGGTCTCGAACTCCTGACCTCAAGTGATCCACCCGCCTCAGCCTTCCAAAGTGCTGGGATTACAGGCGTGAGCTACAGTGCCCAGATTAATAATTTTTTTTTTTGTTTTTTTGGGGGACGGAGTTTTGCTCTTGTTACCCAGGCTGGAGTGCAATGGTGCAATCTCGGCTCTCTACAACCTCTGCCTCCCAGGTACAAGTGATTCTCCTGTCTCAGTTTCCCAAATAGCTTGGATTACAGACATGTGCCACCACACCCAGCTAATTTTTTTGTATTTAGTAGAGACAGGGTTTCACCATGGTAGTCAGGCTGGTCGCGAACTCCTGACCTCAGGTGAGCCACCTGCCTCGGCCTCCCAGAGTGCTAGAATTACGGGCATGTGCCACCGTGCCCAGACAAAAATTTTGCTTTCATTAGCCAGGCTTGATAGCACCTGACTGTGATCCCAGATACTTGAGAGGCTGAGGTGGGAGAATCACTTGAGCCCAGGAGGTCAAGGTTGCAGTGAGCCATGATCGCACCACTGCACTTGGCCTGGGCAACAGAGCAAGACCCTGTCACAAAAAAAAAAAAAAAAAAAAAAAAAAAAATCAAGATTTGCAATAGCCAGTTAGCTCAGTTGGTTAGAGCCAGGTGCTAACACCAAGGTTGTGGATTTGATCGCCACGTGGGCAAATGTATTATCATTTATGTGGATGGAGGATTGCTTGAGGCCAGGATTTCGAGACCAGCCTGGCCAACACGGAGAAACCCCATGTCTACTAAAAATACAAAAATTATGGGCTTGACACAGTGGCTCGCACCTGTAATCCCAGCACTTTGGGAGGCTGAGGCGGGCAGATCATCTGAGGTCAGGAGTTTGAGACCAGCCTGGCCAACATGGTGAAAACCCATCTCTACTAAAAAAAAATACAAAAATTAGCTGGGCGTGGTGGTGCACGCCTGTAATCCCAGCTACTCAAGAGGTTGAGGCAGGAGAATCACTTGAACCTGGGAGGCAGAGGTTGCAGTGAGCCAAGATCATGCCACTACACTCCAGCCTGGGGGCAACAGAGCGAGTCTCCGTCTAAAAAAAAAAAAAAAAAAAAAAACCAGCTGCATAAACTGGTCTCAAAATAAAGAAATAAATTAAATTTAAATAATAAAATAAAGTACATAATGTATATCTGTGAAAAAAAAAATCCCATGGAATTGGGGGAGAAATTACAGAAGGAGGCTGGGAGACCAGTAAGGAGGTTGTGGCAATTTTCAAAGAGTGAGAACTTTGCAAGTAAGGATAGAGCTATGGACAGATTTGAGAGACATTTTAATTTTTTTTTTTTAGATGGAGTTTTGCTCTGTTGCCCAGGCTGGAGTGCAGTGGCGCAATCTTGGCTCACTGCAACCTCCGCCTCCTGGGTTCAAGCGATTCTCCTGCCTCAGCCTCCCAAGTAGCTGGAATTACAGGCATGCGCCACCATGCCCGGCTAATTTTTTTTTTTTTTTGTATTTAGTAGAGACAGGGTTTCACCATGTTGGTCAGGCTGGTCTCAAACTCCTGACCTCAAATGATCTACCCGCCTCGGCCTCCCAAAGTGCTGGGATTACAGGTGTGAGCCACTACGCCCAGCCCAAGTTTTCTTTATTCTCCCTTTAAAAAGCCATTAGCCTAAATACCCTCCACTCTGTTTCCCTTAGAATGGACAGAACCCAGGCCCTTTTCACCCCACTCCAATCAGCCCCAACACCTAATAGGATCACTTTTTTTTTTCTTTTGTAAGAGGGAGTCTCACTCTGTCACCCAGGCTGGAGTGCAGTGGCTCAATCTTGTCTCACTGCAACCTCCACCTCCCGGGTTCAAGCAATTCTGCTGCCTCAGCCTCCCAAGTAGCTGGGATTACAGGTGCCCACCACCACGCCCAGCTAATTTTTGTATTTTTAGTAGAGACAGGGTTTCACCATGTTGACCAGGCTGGTCTGGAACTCCTGACATCAGGTGATCTGCCCACCTTGGCCTCCCAAAGTGCTGGGATTACAGGCGTGAGCCACTGCGCCTGGCCTGGCCAGGATCATTTTATAGATGGCTAATGAAGTGATGAATGGGCTGGAGCCCAAGGATGTAGACATGGGGGTGGTTGTGAAAATGGAGTGATACTGGAGTGCAAAGATATTCTATGAATATTAGTAAGATCTGGGACCAAGGTGAGGGTAATAACATTAAAAATGTAAACCCTGGGCTGGGCACGGTGGCTCACGCCTGTAATCCCAGTACTTTGGGAGGCCGAGGTGGTCAGATCATTAGGTCAGGAGATCGAGACCATCCTGACTAACACAGTGAAACCCCGTCTCAACTAAAAATACAAAAAAAAAAAAAATTAGCTGGGCGTGGTGGCAGGCGCCTGTGGTCCCAGCTACTTGGGAGGCTGAGGGAGGAGAATGGCACGAACCTGAGAGGCAGAGCTTGCAGTGAGCCGAGATCGCGCCACTGCACTCCAGCCTAGGCGAAAGAGCGAGACTCCGTCTCAAAAAAAAAAAAAAAGTAAACTCTGAAAACCAAAGACAAAACAAGATGGGGGCAAGATAAATTTTGGAAGTATTGGCCGGGCACAGTGGCTCACGCCTGCAATCCCAGCACTTTTGGAGGCCGAGGTGGGCAGATCACCTGAGGTCAGAATTGGAGACCAGCCTGACCAACATGGAGAAACCTCATCTCTACTAGAAACACAAAATTAGCCAGGCGTAGTGGCGCATGCCTGTAATCCCAGCTACTCAGGAGGCTGAGGCAGGAGAACTGCTTGGACCCAGGAGGTGGAGGTTGCAGTGAGTGAGATCGTGCCATTTCACTCCAACCTGGGCAACAAGAGTGAAACTCCATCTCAAACAAACAAACAAAATTTTGGAAGTATTAAGTTTCCTAGTTTATACTCTTTTATCTTCTGCATTAGTGATTAAAGTTTGTTTTTTGAGACAGGGCTTTGCTCTGTCACCCAGGCTAGAGTGCATTGACAGGTTCTCAGTTCACTGTAGCCTCAACCTCCCAGGCTCAAGCCGTCCTCCCATCTCAGCCCCCCAGTAGCTGGGACTACAGGCATTTGCCACCAAGCTCGGCTAATGTTTTTGTATTTTTTGCAGTGACCGGGTTTTGCCCTGTTGCCCAGGTTAGTCTTGAACTCTTGGACTCTATTGATCTACCCACCTTGGTTTTCCAAAATGCTGGGATTATAGGCGTGAGCCACTGTACCCAACCTATTATTTTTTTTTTGTTTTGAGACAAGGTCTCACTCTGTCACTCAGGCTGGAGTGTGGTGGCACAAACGTGACTCACTTCAGCCTCGACCTCTAGGGTTCAGGTGATCCTCCCACCTCAGCCTCCTGAGTAGTTGGGACTACAGGCATTTGTTACTGACCTGGGCAAATTTTATTTATTTAGTTTTTGTTTTCTTTGGGTTTGTTTGTTTGTTTTAGACAGAGTCTTGCTCTGTCGCCCAGAGTGCAGTAGTGCAATCTCGGCTCACTGCAAACTCCACCTCCTAGGTTCAAGTGATTCTCCTGCCTCAGCCTCCTAAGTAGCTGGGATTACAGGCTTGCACCACCAAGACCAGCTAATTTTTGTATTTTTAGTAGAAACAGGGTTTCACCCTGTTCGCCAGGCTGGTCTCAAACTCCTGACCTCCAGTGATCCACCCGCCTTGGCCTCCCAAAGTGTTAGGATACAGACGTGAGCCACCACGCCTGGCCATTTTCTTTTTTTTTGAGACAGAGTCTCCATCTGTCACCCAGGCTGGAGTGCGGTGGCACAATCTCAGCTCACTGCAACCTCTGCCACCTGGGTTCAAGCGATTCTCATGCCTCAACCTCCCAGGTAGCTGGAATTACATGGGTGCCACCACACCCAGCTAATTTTTGTATTTTTAGTTGAGATGGGATTTCACCATGTTGGCCAGGCTGGTCTCGAACTCCTGACCTCAAGTGATCTGCCTGCCTCCCAAAGTGCTGGGATTATAAGGATGAACCACTGCACCCGGCCTAATTTTGTAGAGATGTGGTCTTGCCCATGTTGCCTAGGCTGGTCTTGAACTCCTGGGCTCAAGTGATCCTCCACCCTCAACCTCTCAAAGTGTTGAGATTTTTGTTGTTGCTGTTTTGTTTTTGTTTTTGAGACTGGGTATGGCTCTGTCACTCAGGCTGGAGTCCAGTGGCATGATCTCGGCTCACTGCAACCTCCACTTCCTGGGATCAAGCGATTCTCATGCCTCAGCCTCCCCAGTAGCTGGGCCTAGAGGAGCATGCCATTGCGTGCTGGCTTTTTTTGTATTGTTTGTAGAGACGAGACTTTGCTTTCCTATGTTGGCCAGGCTGCTCTTGAACTCCTGGGCTCAAGCAATTTGCCGGCCTCCCAAAATCCAAAATGCTGGGATTACAGGCGTGAGCTTTTTTTTTTTTTTTTTTTTTTGGAGATGGAGTTTTGCTCTTGTTGCCCAGGCTGGAGTGCAGTGGCATGATCTTGACTCACTGCAACCTCCATCTCCCAGGTTCAAGCGATTCTCCTGCCTCAGCCTCCTGAGTAGCTGGGATTACAGGCGCCTGCCACCACGCCTGGCTAATTTTGTATTTTTAGTAGAGATGGGGTTTTGCTGTGTTGGTCAGGCTGCTCTTGAACTCCTGACCTCAGATGATCGACCCGCCTCGGCCTCCCAAACTGCTGGGATCACAGGCATAAGCCACTGAGCCCGGCCAGGCATGAGCTTTTGTAGGGCATACCAGATTGAAAATGAAGACTGTCAGGCCAGGCGTGGTGGCTCACGCCTGTAATCTCAGCACTTTGGGAGGCAAGGTGGGTGGATCACGAGGTCAGGAGATCGAGACCATCCTGGCTAACACGGTGAAACCCCGTCTCTACTAAAAATACAAAAACTTAGCCGGGCGTGGTGGCGGGGGCCTGTAGTCCCAGCTGTTCAGGAGGCTGAGGCAGGAGAATGGTGAGAACCCAAGAGGCAAAGCTTGCAGTGAGCCAAGATCTCACCACTGCCCTCCAGCCTGGGTGACAGAGCGAGACTCTGTCTCAAAAAAAATAAAAAGAAAAAGAAAAGACTGTGGGCTGGGCGCGGTGGCTCACACCTGTAATCCCAGCACTTTGGGGGGCCGAGGCAGTCGGACTACCTGAGGTCAGGAATTTGAGACCAGCCTGGCCAACAAGGTGAAACCCCGTCTCTACTAAAAATACGAAAATTAGCCGCATGTGGTAGCAGGCGCCTGTAATCCCAGCTACTCGGGAGTCTGAGGCAGGAGAATCACTTGAACCCGGGAGGCGGATGTTGCAGTGAGCCAAGATCAAACCTTTGCACTCCTTGCACTCTGGCCTGAGGACAACAGCAAGACTTGATCTCAAAAAAAAAAAAAAAGACTTTGGACTGGGTGCAGTGGCTCACACCAGTAATCCCAGCACTTTTCGAGGCCGAGGCGGACGGATCACGAGATCAGGAGTTGGAGACCAGCCTGGCCAGTATGGTGAAACACCGTCTCTACTAAAAATTAGCCGGGCATGGTGGTGCGCACCCGTAGTCCCAGCTACTCGGGAGGCTGAGGCAGGATAATTGCTTGAACCCGTGAGGCAGAGGTTGCAGTGAGCGGAGTTCGCACCACTGCACTCCAGCGTGCGCGACAGAGACTCTGTCTCAAAAAAAAAAAAAAAAAGAAATAAAAGAAAGACCCAACACCACATCAGGACATGTAATTCTTATTTATTTTTCACCCTCAACAAGGAAGAAAGGTCTCTCCCTCAATTCTGCTCTTCCAATACTTGAGGATAGGCACCCCTAACCCTCCTTCCTCCAGGGAGGCCTCAGCATCAGTGTCTGTGGACGTAGTCTCTGAAGAGTGCTTCAGCTGATGGGGAAGGAGAAACTCAAGACAGAGATCCTCCTAGGGATGGCGTCACTTTCCTGCCAACTTTCTCGTTGCCTCTCCTTGAAAGCAGAAGAAGTGCCAGCCCTCAGCTTCCGTCAGATCTTGGGCTCCTAGGGCCTTGTACAAGTCCATGGCCCTCTGGTTCCAGTCCAGGACGGCCAGGCGGAATTGGGAGCAGCCCTTATCCAAGGCCACCTGTGGGAGAAGACAACACTAACTTTTCTGGGGTCAAAAAAGAAAAAGGTTTTCTCACTCCCTCTTTCAACCCGGGTCCCCCCTCCATATACCCTTGCTTCTTCAGGTCCTCACTTGTCGCCCCACCCATCTCCTCACCTCAGCCACCTTTTTGATTATTTTGGAACCAATCCCTTGACCTGTTGTGGAGAGAAAGAGGCAAAAAATAGCTATTGTTTGAGCTGAAGGGGATCAGAAAATGACACCGGCTGGGCTCTGGGGACAGGGGATAACAGTGGGGTCTGTGGGGTGCTTTGCTCCCACCCCAGCCTCAGCTTCTGCCCAGTACCCCGATATTCCGGCATCACATAGATATCCTCCAGATAAATGGTGCGTCCCTTCCATGTACTGTAGATGAAATAGTATATCCCATAGCCCACCACGCAGGGCCCTGAGAGAGAGAAAAGGGGAGTAAGGCTTCTGGAAGCCTGTGGGGAGACCTCTGAGGCCGGCTGGAGAGGTGGACTTCTAAGGGCCAGGTGCTCTTACCCAGTAGCTTCCCGGGCGCTGGAAGAATCTCTGCTACCAAACAGTGATAGAAAGGATTGTCTCCAAAGCCATCTGCTCTCAGGGCTGCCGAGATTGGAGTTGTGACAAAGAGATAGAGAAAGAGGACGTGGGTGTATGCCCAGCCTGGAGCTGTCGCCTGGGGAACCCATCCCTCATTTCCTCCCCAGCCTCCGCCAGAACCTGGGCGCTGAGCCCCCACCTTCTTCACTGATCTTCACCTGATCCGAGAGTTTTTCGAATTCGGCTAGCTCCTAAGGCGTGGGTACGGAAGCTAGATTAGAGCAGAAGGGCCCCGCTGCTCCCCGAGCAGGTTCCCAAGGCGAGCCCCTCCCCCTGCCCCCGCCTCCTACGACCCCGCTCTGGCCGCGCCACTCTGACCCCCGGGTTACCGGCCTGCAGTCTTCACCCGAATCAGCCTCAGGATATCTCCACAGTCTCCCTCCTTGGCCTCTCGGATCCGCACGGAAGCCATCCGGATCCCCGCTGTCTGGGACCAAAGTCCCAGGGCCTCGCAAACGGCAACTAGACCCCTTAAAGGGCCTACGGACTTGGATCCTGAAGAGCCTGAGAGAGCGGGGTGGCGGGAGTCGGGGGGGACGGCGGGGTAGCCGCGGCCTGGTAAGTGGAGCTGGGATTCCGGCGCCGTACGGGAGGAGAGAGTAGGCCAGCGAGGCGATCCTCTGTCCGGGCATAGCCCCACCCCCTCGAATTCTGTCGCAGCAGGGGGCACAACTGTCAGCCAATCAGCTTGGAGAACAGGCACGGCCGCGTCCCCCCCAAGCCCCACCCCCGACAGCTGGATCTTGTGACTGGGCTCCTGGGTAGAGTTCAAGGTTGGAGTGAAGCGGCTTCCTTGCGGTTGTGTGGGTGTCCCAACCTGGGTCGAGATACCCCGCGGTTCAAAGGCTCCCCCGCAGTGCTTTTTAAATTGACATATGCAGTGATAACCTGCTTTAGCCTCAGGCTCACTCACCCGCCCAGACCCTGGGTAAGCCTTAAGACCCTCAGCTCTGAAAGCTGTTTCCTGCAGCTCTTGAGTAGCATGAAGTGTTACCTCTTGGGGGCATTTGCATTTTTTAAATGTTTTATTTTTATATTTATTTATTTATTTATTTTTGGAGATGGTGTATTGCTTTGTCGCCCAGGCTGGGGTGTAGTGGCGCGATCTCTGCTCACTGCAGCCTCCACCTCCCGAGTTCAAGCGATCCTCCTGTCTCAGCCTCCGGAGTAGCTGGAACTACAGTCGCGCACCGGCACGCCCGGCTAATTTTTTTTTCTTTTTTCTTCTCTTTTTTTTTGTTTTAACGGATTCTCACTCTGTCACTCAGGCTGGAGTGCAGTGGCGCGATCTCGGCTCACTGCAACCTCTCCCTCCTGGGTTCAAGCGATTCTCCTGCCTCACCCTCGGAGTAGCTGGGATTACAGGCATGGGCAACCATACCTGGCTAATTTTTGTATTTTTAGTAGAGACGGGGTTTCACTATGTTGGCCAGGCTGGTCTGGAACTCCTGACCTCAAGTGATCTGCCCGCCTCAGCCTTCTAAAGTGCTGGGATTACAGATGTGACCCACCAAGCCCGGTCTGTCATTTGCATTTTAAAATGGGTCATGGGGTGGGCACAGTGGCTCACACCTGTAATCCCAGCATTTTGGGAGGCAGAGGCAGGCGGATCACCTGAGATCAGGAATTTGAGACCAGCCTGACCAACATGGTGAAACCCCGTCTCTACTAAAAATACAAAAATTAGACAGGTGTGGTGGCGCATGCCTTTACTCCCAGCTACTCGGGAGGCTGAGACAGGAGAATCGCTTGAACCTGGGAGGTGGAGGTTACAGTGAGCCGAGATCGTGCCATTGCACTCCAGCCTGGGCAACAAAAGCGAAACTCCATCTCAAAATAAATAAATAAAATAAAATGCGTCAGGGAGGGTCGGGCCTTGTGGCTAATGCCTGTAATCCAGGTACTTTGGGAGGCTGAGGTGGGCGGATCATTTCAGGTCAGAGGTTCGAGATCAGCCTGGGCAACGTGGTGAAATCCCCGTCTCTACTAAAAACACAAAAAAATTTGCTGGGCGTGGTGGTGCGTGCACCTGTAGTCCCAACTACTAAGGAGGCTGAGACAGGAGGATCGCTTGAACTCGAGAGGCAGAGGCAGCAGTGAGCCGAGATCACGCCACTGCACTCCAGCCTGGGTGATAGAGCAAGACTCTGTCTAAAATAAAATAAAATAAAATAAAATAAAATAAAATAAAATGGGTCAGGGAGTGGGTGATTTCTACTGCTAGACTGTTTAGGCCCTGTAATAAATGGATAAGGGAAGATAACTGAGAGGCGGGGGGCAGGTCCCTTCTTAATATTCACTGAATCATACACACAGACAATACCTTCTTGGGAGACAGGCCTCAGAGGCCTGGGAAAAGACTGGGGGAGGAGTTCAGACCAGATGCCAGGCACTGTGCCTGCATTTTCTCAATGAACCCTCTTTCACAGTCACCCCGTAAAGTATTATTTTCCTCATTTTACAGACAAGGACACTGAAGCACAGAGGTGAAGTGACTTGCCCAAGGTCACTCAGCTAGAAATTTAGGATTCCATTATCTCATTTCTAGTCCTGATACAGGATGCTACTTGGGACGCAGGGGAGGACTGTTTCTAGACCTCAGGCCTGTGAATGCAGGCTCCCCGAGTGGACAGAAATCTTGGAGGACCTAGATCAGGCCCTAGAGGAGGAGAGGGGAGATGGAATATCCTCTCCCAGTTCAGAAACTTTCTCGGCAGTGGAGGATGATAGTGGAGGGGACTCTGTCCTTCACCCCATTGATCCCCAGAGGGGTGATAGCTGAGTCTTGTGACTGGGCCCCTGGGCAGGGGTCAAGGGTCAGTGCCCCTGTTTCCTTTACCCCCTCCTCCCCGGGCAACCTTTAACCCTCCACCGCCCACACGCAAGGCTGCCTGCCTCTACACATTCTCCCAAGAGTTGTCTGAGCCGCCGAGTGGACAGTGGCTGATTATGGAGAGCAGAGGCCCACTGGCTACCTCGCGCCTGCTGCTGTTGCTGCTGTTGCTACTACTGCGTCACACCCGCCAGGGATGGGCCCTGAGACCTGTTCTCCCCACCCAGGTGCAGGAGCGGGACAGGGCACTCAGCTCATGCAGTCTTCCCTTCTCTCCTCTGGCCCTGTAGCAGGGCCTCTCCCTCTGTCTGTCTCTGACATGTCCCTACTCAGCTTTGTTTGTTTTCTCTTTCTGATAGAGTGCCCACGACCCTCCGGCTGTCCACCTCAGCAATGGCCCAGGACAAGAGCCTATCGCTGTCATGACCTTTGACCTCACCAAGATCACAAAGTATGGGGTTGGCCTAGCCCTTGACCCAGTCCCCTGGTTCTGCCCTCTCTCCATCAGCTCTTCTCTTTTCCCTGTCTTCCTTTCCTTATCTGTGAACACCATCTCCCCCAAACCCACACTGGTTCTCAAAGGACACATGACATACACAATCTTTCCTTCTGTGTCCTTCCAGAACCTCCTCCTCCTTTGAGGTTCGAACCTGGGACCCAGAGGGAGTGATTTTTTATGGGGATACCAACCCTAAGGATGACTGGTTTATGCTGGGACTTCGAGACGGCAGGCCTGAGATCCAACTGCACAATCACTGGGCCCAGCTTACGGTGGGTGCTGGACCACGGCTGGATGATGGGAGATGGCACCAGGTAAGCTAGCTCTGGTCCTCAGGGGAGGGATGTCTGGAGCTGGTCTGAGGAAAGGGAACAAAACCAAGTTATTGGGCATCCCTCTACCACTGTCATCTCGTTTAATCCACACGAACCCCCACAAAGTAGCTATTCTTGGCCCCATCTTTTCTGATGGGAATTCTAAGGCTCAGTCAGTATATAAGTGACAAGAGCTGAGTGACCCAAGGCCAAGGATGCTAGCTGCTTCTTTAAGGCATGTTCTTTCCACTATAGTACTAGGCTGCCTCACAGGAAGGTGGCAGAAACAGATCCCAGGGGCCTCTGATTTTGCTTCCCACCTTCCTGCAGGTGGAAGTCAAGATGGAGGGGGACTCTGTGCTGCTGGAGGTGGATGGGGAGGAGGTGCTGCGCCTGAGACAGGTCTCTGGGCCCCTGACCAGCAAACGCCATCCCATCATGAGGATTGCGCTTGGGGGGCTGCTCTTCCCCGCTTCCAACCTTCGGTTGCCGGTAACTACACCCCAGGGGTGGAACCCTAGCCAAGACTTGGTAAAGCACTGCTGGGTGGCTGGCCGTGGGAATCTAAGTCCACACTTTTAGGGAGAAGGGAAGGGTTGAGAGCTGCAAGGGGGAGGCCAAATGCTCAGAGGGGAGTCAACTGAGGGCAGGGAGGTCGGGACTGCGGCTCCGATGCCCTGATTTCTACATCCCCGTATCTTATCTCTGTCACACTCCAGCTGGTTCCTGCCCTGGATGGCTGCCTGCGCCGGGATTCCTGGCTGGACAAACAGGCCGAGATCTCAGCATCTGCCCCCACTAGCCTCAGAAGCTGTGATGTAGAATCAAATCCCGGGATATTTCTCCCTCCAGGGACTCAGGCAGAATTCAATCTCCGAGGTAGATTTCCTCGGAGTCTATTTTTCCCACCCTGGCCAGCTCAGCCTGCCTCTGTCCCCCTCTACCACTGGCCCCTTTCCTCCTTGAGACCCCAGCTTTGAGGCCTCAGGATAATCATTTCTCCCCACAGACATTCCCCAGCCTCATGCAGAGCCCTGGGCCTTCTCTTTGGACCTGGGACTCAAGCAGGCAGCAGGCTCAGGCCACCTCCTTGCTCTTGGGACACCAGAGAACCCATCTTGGCTCAGTCTCCACCTCCAAGATCAAGTAAAGGGGGACAGTGGGGCATTGCCTGTATTCAGTGGAGCCTGGAGCAATGAGGGAAGAGGGGAGTCCAACATGTCAATATTAGGAAGGTTTCCAGCCCAGGGAACATAACAAGACTGGCTCCACAGAATTGTTTTTCATTAATAATTAGCCAGGCATGGTGGTGCTTGCCTGTAATCCCAGGTGCTGGAGGCCAAGACCAGAGGATCACTTGAGGCCAGGAGTTTGACACCAGCCTGGGCAACATAGCAGAGACCTCTGTCTAAAAAAAAAAAAAAATTAGCCAGGCATGGTAGCACATGTCTGCTGCCCTAGCTATTTAGGAGCCTGAGGCAGGAGGTTCACTTGAGCCCAGGAGTTTGAAGCTGCAGTGAGCTATGATGTGCCACTGCACTCTGACCTGGGCCACAGTGAGACCCTGTCTCAAAAAAATAAAAATAAAAATAAGGCTTATGGATGGCACTCAGGTGGGTGGTAGGGGCGAGGGACATATCTTGAAGCTCCCCACAGCAAGCAAACAGTTTTGACTTAGACTGCATATTTACTTGGGGCAGGTGTGGTTTCAAAAAGGGTCAAGCCAAAAAAAATTGGGGCAGGATTTAAGTGGTGAGAATGGCCAGTAGGTGGAGGCATAGCGAAGAGGCAGAATTAAGGCAGCTAGGGGTGAGGCCACAGGCAGTAGGCCCGGCTCATTCTTCCCTCTCTCTCTACCGTCCCTTTCCCACACACTCTGCAGAAGGTGGTGTTGTCTTCTGGGTCGGGGCCAGGGCTGGATCTGCCCCTGGTCTTGGGACTCCCTCTTCAGCTGAAGCTGAGTATGTCCAGGGTGGTCTTGAGCCAAGGGTCGAAGATGAAGGCCCTTGCCCTGCCTCCCTTAGGCCTGGCTCCCCTCCTTAACCTCTGGGCCAAGCCTCAAGGGCGTCTCTTCCTGGGGGCTTTACCAGGTAAGAGAGAATGATGTTCAAGTTCATGAGCACAACATTGGAAACAGCTCAAGGGAGGCGGCACATTTTGAGGGGAAGGAAACCTCTGGGAGGGAAGAAGAATAGGCCACAAGAAGAAGATATGGGGGCAGTGGAAGGTAGTGCTTTTGCAAACTCAGGTTGGAGGAGTGGAAAAGTGGGGAGAAGATTCTGGATCCGAGCCACCTTAATGCTCTAATGCCACCTTTGCACTACCTCCCTCTAGGAGAAGACTCTTCCACCTCTTTTTGCCTGAATGGCCTTTGGGCACAAGGTCAGAGGCTGGATGTGGACCAGGCCCTGAACAGAAGCCATGAGATCTGGACTCACAGCTGCCCCCAGAGCCCAGGCAATGGCACTGACGCTTCCCATTAAAGCTCCACCTAAGAACCCCCTTTGAAAGTTACTGATTATTCATTTATTCAACAAATATTCACTGTGCACTAGCAATGTACCAGGCACTGTGCCAAGTATTGAGTTGTCTTAATGAGCAAAAACACTCTGGTTCCTACCCTCTTGGTGCCCACAGTCCCATAGGGAAGCAGACATCCATCAAAGGCTAACTAATAAGTGGATAGTTGGAAGCACTGATAAAGAAGAATTGGAGAGTTGTGAAAACATGGAGACTGGCCGGGCGTGGTGGCTCACGCCTGTAATCCCAGCACTTTGGGAGGCAGAGGCGGGCGGACCACAAGGTCAGGAGATCGAGACCATCCTGGCTAACACGGTGAAACCCCGTCTCTACTGAAAATACAAAAAAATTAGCTGGGCATGGTGGCGGGCGCCTGTAGTCCCGGCTGCTCGAGAGGCTGAGGCAGGAGAATGGTGTGAACCCGGGAGGCGGAGCTTGCAGTGAGCCGAGATCGCGCCACTACACTCCAGCCTGGGCAACAGAGCAAGAGTCCATCTCAAAAAAAAAGAAAAAAGAAAAAATAGAAAACATGGAGACTAGGAGGCCTTAACTTAGTCTGAGCGTCAAGGAGAGTTTCTCTAAGGAAATGAGGACTTCTTTTTTTTTTTTTTTTTGAGATGGAGTTTCCCGCTCTTGTTGCCCAGGCTGGAGTGCAATGGCGTGATCTCGGCTCACTGCAACCTCCGCCTCGCGGGTTCAAGCGATTCTTTTGCCTCAGCCTCCCGAGTAGCTGGGATTACAGGCGTGCACCACCACCCCCAGCTAATTTTTTGTATTTTTAGTAGAGGTGGGGTTTCACCATGTTGGCCAGGCTGGTCTAGAACTCCTGACCTCGGGTGATCCTCCTGCCTCGGCCTCCCAAAGTGCTGGGATTACAGGCGTGAGCCATTGCGTCCGGCTGGAAATGAGGACTTCTTAGGCTGAGATCCCAGCAAAAACCCCGACAGACAGACATACTCTGGATACAGGTCACTTTCTGGAAGCCAGGACCCACCTGGTTCCGCAGAAGCTACTCCCTTTGAGACCAGTTTCCTGCCTCTGTGGCTGGTCCAGAGAGATCAGGAGGAAGGGAAGAGATGGGATTTTGACATCTCAGTCATCTGGTCCTTGGACTGGCCATTGCTGCCCAGGGAAGAAGCAGCAGGGGGCGTGAGAGGGTCACAGAGAGATGTGGGTAGGGGTTCTGGAAAAAGGGGTGGAGGCAGGGAGAAAGAAAAAGGGAGGAGAGCAGAGGGAGAAAGTCGCGTCTCTCTCTCTCTCTCCTAGTCTTGGTCCACTTGCTGCCTTCCCAGACAAATTTGTCTCTACTCCATTAAGCAAGAACTGGCTTGTGCTGGTCCCAGCTGGGAAAAACAGACAGATTTGGGAATATCTCTCCCCTCAAAGAATACGGTGACCCAGCTCTCAACCACAGACCTCTAGAGAATGCTGGTGCCCAGCATCCCTCCCTGGGGAACCCTCGTATCCAAGCCCATAGCCCCTACCCCTCAGCTCCCAGTCTTCTGCCCTCTTAGGAACCCTTGTGTCCTAGCCCAAAGCTCCCAGCCTACTAAGGAGCCCTGGGGCTAAAGCCCCCCATCCTCTTTCCTCTCAAGAACTATTAGGTCAGCCAGGTGTGGTAGCTCACACCTTTAATCCCAGCACTTTGGGAGGCCGGGGTGGGCGGATCACCTGAAGTCAGGAGTTTGAGACCAATCTGGCCAACATAGTGCAATCCCGTCTCTACTAAAAATACAAAAATTAGCTGGGCATGATGGTGGGCGCCTGTAATCCCAGCTACTCGGGAGGCTGAGGCAGGAGAATTGCTTGAACCTGGGAGGTGGAGGTTGCAGTGAGCCGAGATTGCGCCACTGCACTCCAACCTGGGTGACAGAGTGAGACTCTGTCTCAAAAAAACAAAACAAAACAAAAAAAAACTTAAAAAGAACCATTAGGTTAAAGCATCCTCCATCTCCAGACCCCATGAGAATCCCAGTGTCCAAGACTCCTAATTTCTTACAAGAATCTTTTCACCAGTAACCCAGGCAGCAGGCTGAGTCACTCACTGGAGCTGCTGTCCCCTTCTGCAGAGATCAGCCGGGACCTAAATGACTCCAGGGTAAGGAGGCCCTGGGGAGTCTGTAGGGTAGAAGACACAAATCCCAAGCCCCACCTTCTACCTCTCCTAATCTTGACCCTATAGACCCTCTCAGGATCTACAACTGCCTCCACCCAGCCAGCAGTGTTGGTAGTGGAGTCTTCAGCAATGGAGAGGGCATCCACATTTAACTCTGGCCCCTTGTTGACGTTCAGGGCTAACCTAGGCCACCTGAGCACCCGCTATGTACTAGGCACTGTTGTAGATACTGAGGATTCGTTGGTGAAAAGGACAAAAACAGGCTGGGCGCAGTGGCTCACGCCTGTAATCTCAGCACTTTGGGAGGCTGAGACGGGCGGATCATGAGGTCAGGAGATCAAGACCATCCTAGCCGGGCGTGGTGGCGGCGCCTGTAGTCTCAGCTACTTGGGAGGCTGAGGCAGGAGAATGGCGTGAACCCGGGAGGTGGAGCTTGCAGTGAGCGGAGATCGCACCACTGCACTCCAGCCTGGGCGACAGAGCGAGACTCCGTCTCAAAAAAAAAAGAAAGAAAGAAAAAAGAAAAGGACAAACACTATCCCCGCTCTGATGGAACTTATAGCATAGTAGAGGGGAAGCAGACACAAACAAGAACACAAATAAATAAGCAGGATTATTTCAGATAGCGGTTAGAGCAATAAAGGGAACAAAACCCTGTAATATAATAGGAGGGGGAGGGGAGGGTCAACATTAGCTGGGTGGTCAGGGAAGTCATTTGAGCAGAGACCTGAATAATGAAAAGAAGTCATCCTGTGGAGGCCTGTGGAGTGTGAGCCAGCAGGGAGGGGGGTTAAAGAGCCCGGATGTACCTGGGCACCCACCAAGGGGGTTGTTCCGAGTGCCAATATCCTGACCTTTTGTCCCTGGAATCTCCTCGGAGCTGGCTTTTCTCTCCTCCCTCCACCCCACCTTCTCCAGGACACTGTGCCACCAACCTCTCTTTCCCCAGCCTGCCCTAGATTCCAGGATTCCTGATTACCATCCAGAGCTGTCTACACTCTTTCATTAAGACTGACTTCGCTTTGACATCGACTTTGCCAGGTCCCCAACCAAGGGCACCTACGATGCCTGCCCAGTGTCCCCTGCCTTCCCCACACCCCCAAAAACTTTTCAGAGCTTGGCAGCACACACTAAAGCCTCTGGGCCTGATCTACCCACTCACCCCATCCTACCCACTGCCTCTCTCTCTCTCTCTCCCTCCCTTCTTGCTGCGCCCCCCCCCCAACTTTCATTCAATTAACATGTATTGGCTGCTGATACATTGGTCAAATACTGTGTAGCCCACCACAGGGACTCTAAAGATGAATATAAAACTTGGTACTGGGCTGGAGAACCAGGGTCTTTTTTTTTTTTTGAGACGGAGTCTCGCTTTTTCTCCCAGGCTGGAATGCAGTGGCGTGATCTTGGCTCACTGCAAGCTCTACCTCCTGGGTTCACGCCATTCTCCTGCCTCAGCCTTCTGAGTAGCTGGGACTACAGGCGTACGCCACCACGCCCAGATAATTTTTTGTTTTTTTAGTAGAGACGGGGTTTCACCGTGTTAGCCAGGATGGTCTCCATCTCCTGACCTCGTGATCCACCCGCTTCGGCCTCCCAAAGTGCTGGGATTACAGGCGTGAGCCACTGTGCCTGGCCTTTTTTTTTCTTTTGAGACAGAGTCTCGCTCTTTCAGCCAGGCTGGAGTGCAGTGACATGATCTCAGCTCACTGAAACCTCTGTCTCCCAGGCTCAAGCAATTCTCCTGTCTCAGCTTCCCAAGTAGCTGGGACTACAGGCATGTGCCACCACACCTGGCTAATTTTTGTACTTTTAGTAGAGATGGGGATTCACCATGTTGGCCAGGCTAGTCTCGAACTCCTGACCTCAGGTAATCTGCCTGTCTCGGCCTCCCAGAGTGCTGGGATTATAGGCATGAGCCACCGCGCCCAGCCTTTTTTTTTTTTTTTCTTTTGAGACAGAGTCTCCCTCTATTGCCCAGGCTGGAGTGCAATGGCGTGACCTTGGCTCACTGCAACTTCCACTTCCCGGGTTCAAGTGATTCTCCTGCCTCAGCCTCTCAAGTAACTGGGATTACAGGCATGCACCACCACACCTGGCTAATTTTTATATTTTTAGTAGAGACAAAGTTTCACCATGTTGGCCAGGCTGGTCTCAAACTCCTGACCTCAGGTGATCTGCCCACCTCAGCCTCCCAAAGTGCTGAGTTTAAGGGCGTGAGCCACCGGGCCCAGCCAGAACCAGGGTCTTGAGAGAGAGATAGACATGTAAAATGCTTTAGCAGAGGTATCTGAGATGCCAAGAAACCTAGTTGCTAGTTCTACTAAGGACCATCAAAGAAATGAGTTATGGCTGGACGCGGTGGCTCATGCCTGTAATCCCAGCACTTTGGGAGGCTAAGGTGAATGGATCACCTGAAATCAGGAGTTTAAGACCGGCGTGGCCAGCATGGTGAAACCCCATCTCTACTAAAAATACAAAAAATTAGCTGGGCGTGGTGGCGGGCTCCCATAATCCCAGCTACTGGGGAGGCTGAGGCAGGAGAATCGCTTGAACCCGGGAGGCGGAGGGTGCAGTGAGCTGAGACTGCACCATTGCACTCCAGCCTGGGCAACAGAGCAAGACTTCGGAACAAGAAAACAAAAAAATAAAAAAACAAAAGAAACGAGTTGTTAGATGTGCGAAGTTGAACAAATGACTAAACCTCTATTACTGTTTCCCCATCTACAAAATGGGAAGTTTCTCTATCTTAGAAGGTTACTGTGAAGATTTGATGAAATCATGTAGACATTTTAATGTCTAGCATAGTGTTTGGCATACAGAAAGTGCTCAATATATGAGATATATATATATTTCTCAATATATATAAGAAATGTTGTTCTTATTAATCTCACACAGTTCCTGACATATTAGTTCTCACATAGTTCCTGACATACTAGTCTGAGCCTGCTGGGTATCAAAGATCTGGGAGGGCGTGTGACATGGATGAACCATGGAGAGGCTGAGATGGAGTGAGGGCAGGTGGGGGCTCCTTGGGCTATGTGGCCTTGTGTGTCCTGCTGAGGAGTTGGAGCTTGATCTCGTCAGTGAATAAACTTTATTTTCTTATCTATTCTTCTTTTTCTTCTTCTTCTTTTTTTTTTTTTTGAGAGAGAGTCTCACTGTGTCGCCCAGGCTGGAATGCAGTGGCGTGATCTGGGCTCACTGCAACCTCTGTCTCCCGGGTTTAAGAGATTCTCCTGGCTCAGCCTCCCAAGTAGCTGGGATTACAGATGCCCACCACCACGCCCAGCTAATTTTTTGTATTTTTAGTAGAGACGGGGTTTCACTGTGTTAGCCAGGATGGTCTCAATCTTCTGACCTTGTGATCTGCCCACCTCGGTCTCCCAAAGTGCTGGGATTACAGGCGTGAGCCACCATGTCAGGCCTTTTTTTTTTTTTTTTTGAGACAGCATCTGGTTCTGTTGCCCAGGCTGAAGTGTAGTGGCGCGATTTCAGTTCACTGCAACCTCCAGCTCCTGGGTTCAAGCGATTCTCCTGCCTCAGCTTCCTGAGTAGCTGGGATTACAGACATGCACCACCACACCTGACTAATTTTTTGTATTTTTAGTAGAGACAGGGTTTTACCATTTGGCCAGGCTGGTCTCAAACTTCTGGCCTCAAGTGATCCACACACCTTGGCCTCCCAAAGTGCTGGGATTACAAGCGTGAGCCACCACATCTGGCTTTCTTTCTTCCTTTTCTTCTATTTTTTTCTTTTTTAGAGACAGCCTTGCTGTGTTACCAACTGTAGTACAGTGGTGCAATCATGGCTGGGACCACAGGAGCAGGCCATTGCACCCAGCTTATTTTTAAATTTTTTGTAGAGATGCGGTCTTGCTATGTTACTCAGGCTGATCTCAAACTCTTGGCCCCACTCTTGGAATCCTCCCCACTCAGCCTCCCAAAGTGCTGGGATTACAGGCATGAGCCACCATTCCTGGCCTCTTCTCTTATTTTCTTTTTCTTTCTTTCCTTCCCTTCCTTCCTTCTTTCGATTGTGGTAAAATACACACAACATAAAATTTACCATCTGAACCTTTTTTTTGTTTTTGAGATAGGATCTCATTCTGTTGCCCAGGCTGGAGTACATTGGTGCAACCATGGCTCACTGTAGCCTCCAGTTCCTGGGTTCAAGTAATCTTCTCACCTCAGCCCCCCCAGTAGCTGGGACTACAGGCATGCACCACTAAGCCTGGCTAATTTTTTTTTTTTTTTTTTTTGAGACTGAGTCTTGCTGTCGCCCGGGCTAGAGTGCAGTGGTGCGATCAATGCTCACCGCAACCTCTGCCTCCTGGGTTCAAGCAATTCTCCTGTCTCAGCCTCCCGAGTAGCTGGGATTACAGGCCTGATAATTTTTGTATTTTTAGTGGAGACGGGGTTTCACCATGTTGGCCAGGCTGGTCTCAAACTCCTGACCTCAGGTGATCCACCCACCTCGGCCTCCCAAAGTGCTGTGATTACAGGCGTGAGCCACCGTGCCCAGCTAATTTTTGTATTTTTAGTAGAAATGGGGTTTCACCATGTTGGCCAGGCTGGTCTCGAACTCCAGACCTCAAGTGATCCACCCACCTCAGCCTCCCAAAGTGCTGGGATTACAGGTGTGAGCTGCTGCACCCGGCCTAATTTTTAAATTTTTTGTATAGACTGGGGTCCCACTGGTCTGGAACTCCTGGGCTTGAATGATTCTCCCACCTTGGTCTCTCAAAGTGCCGGGATTACAGGTGTGAGCTACCGCGCCTGGACCATCTTAACCTTTTTTTTTTTTTTTTTGAGATGGAGTCTTGCTCTGTCGCCCAGGCTGGACCGCAGTGGCACGACCTTGGCTCACTGCAACCTCTGTCTCCCAGGTTCAAGCAATTCTCCCGTCTCAGCCTCCTGTCATCTTAACCATTTTTAAGTGTACATTTCAGTGGCATTAACTCCACTCACGATGTTGTGCAACCATCACCACCATCCATTTCCAGAACTCTTTTCATCTTTGTAAAACTGAGACTCTGTCCCCATTAAACAGCACTGTTCCATTCCCCTCTCCCCACATATCTGTGTTTCAGAAGTCTTCTCTTTCCTTGTTCTTGTCTTTGCAAACACCCATTTTGTTGGGAACCCAGACGGCTAAGTCCCTGGAATTGCACGGACTGACGGGAAGGAGATAGACGGGTACAGCCCTCAGTGAGAGGTGACAGCGTGCTGGCAGCCCTCACAGCCCTCGCTCGCTCTCAGCACCTTCTCGGTCTTGGCGCCCACTCTGGCCGCGCTTGAGGAGCCCTTCAGCCCACCGCTGCACTGTGGGAGCCCCTTTCTGGGCTGGCCAAGGTCGGAGCCAGCTCCTTCAGCTTGCGGGAAGGTGTGGAGGGAGAGACGCGGGTGGGAACCGGGGCTGCACGCGGTGCTTGCCGGCCAGCGCGATTTTGGGTGGACGTGGCACTTGGAGCGCCGGCCGGCCCTGCCGGCCCCGGGCAGTGAGGGGATTAGCACCAGGGCCAGCAGCTGCTATGCTCAATTCTCGCCGGGCCTTAGCTGCCTTGCCGCAGGGCAGTGCTCGGGACCTGCAGCCCACCATGCCTGAGCCTCCCCTTCACTCCGTGGGCTCCTGTGCAGCCCGAGTCTCCCTGAGGAGCGCCACCCCCTGCTCCATGGCGCCCAGTCCCATCGACCACCCAAGAGCTGAGGAGTGCAGGTGCATGGCACTGGACTGGCAGGCAGCTCCACCTGCGGCCTGGTGCTGGATCCACTGGGTGAAGCCAGTTGGGCTTCTGAGTCTGGTGGGGACTTGGAGAACCTTTATGTCTAGCTAAGGGATTGTAAATACACCAATCGGCACTGTGTGTCTAGCTCAAGGTTTGTAAACACACCAATCAGCACCCAGTGTCTAGCTCAGGGTTTATGAATGCACCAATCAACACTCTGTATCTAGCTACTCTGGTGGGGACTTGGAGAACATTTATGTCTAGCTAAGGGATTGTAAATACACCAATCGGCATTCTGTGTCTAGCTCAAGGTTTGTAAACACACCAATCAGCACCTGGTGTCTAGCTCAGGGTTTGTGAATGCACCAATCGACACTGTATCTAACTACTCTGGTGGGGACTTGGAGAACCTTTGTGTTGACACTCTGTATCTAGCTAATCTACTGGGGACTTGGAGAACTTTTGTGTCTAGCTCAGGGATTGTAAACGCACCAATCAGCACCCTGTCAAAATGGACCAATCAGCTCTCTGTAAAATGGACCAATCGGCTCTCTGTAAAATGGACCAGTCAGCAGGATGTGGGTGGGACCAGATAAGAGAATAAACGCAGGCTGCCCGAGCCAGCAGTGGCAACTCACTGGGTCCCGTTTCATACTGTGGAAGCTTAGTTCTTTCGCTCTTTGCAATAAATCTTGCTGCTGCTCACTCTTTGGGTCCACACTTCTTTTATGAGCTGTAACACTCACTCTGAAGGTCTGCAGCTTCACTCCTGAAGCCAGCGAGACCATGAACCCACTGGCAGGAACGATGAACTCCAGACAAGCCGCCTTAAGAGCTGTGACATTCACGGGGAAGGTCTGCAGCTTCACTCCTGAGCCAGCGAGACCACGAACCCACCAGAAGGAAATAACTCCGAACACATCCGAACATCAGAAGGAACAAACTCTGGACACGCCGCCTTTTAAGAACTGTGACACTCAACTGCGAGGGTCTGTGGCTTCATTCTTGAAGTTAGTGAGACCAAAAACTCACCAATTCCGGACACACCAGGACAAGGTCTAGATATGAAAGAGGGGGTGTGAAGGCTTTCATGCCCTGGTTTCTTTCTGGAGATGCTGGTGGGAAAGGTGGGCTCCAGGAAAAGGCTGGAGGTTTGTAACAGCTCTTCTCCTGGAAATTTTTCAGATCTCCCCTCTCTCAGCGTGTTTCCCTCAGAACACCAATGTTGCGCTTAATGCTGGGGCTCCTCCCCCCTCCTCCGTTCTCTCCTCCAAACTTGCAGGAGAAGACAGCAAGGAAAGGGAGCAACAGGTATCTCATCCTTACTCCATAAACCCCCTACAGTGCAGAGAAGACATTTCTTTCTTTCCAAGTGAACATGGGGTACAAGGGTAGAGACTGAGCCGGGAATCCGGAGGCCACCCCTGGCTGTGTTTGCTAAGCTTTACGTTTTGAGGATAGGACCAGGTTTCATCTTTACAAACAGAGGCTGTATCACTTCCGTGCTGCTTGCCTGAGGAAGGAAAGAGCAAGTTGCCTCTGAGGTCCCTTGCAGAAGGAGCCTTTCCATGTTCATGCCAATTTAACCAGGCACTATCTTTGGTAGCTCTATGGGTTTCTTGAGTTTGAAGAAAGTATAAATAGTCTAAGATAAAGGCCTGTTCTCAAAGAGCTTAGAGCGCTTAGAGTCTAGTTGAAGAGATAAAACACACACAAGAGTTTTCTTTTTTTTGAGACGGAGTCTCGCTCTGTCACCCACGCTGGAGTGCAATGGTGCGATCTCGACTCACTGCAACCTCCACCTCCAGGGTTCAGGTGATTCTCCTGCCTTGGCCTCTTGAGTAGCTGGGATTACAGGCACCCGGCTAATCTTTTTTGTATATTTAGTAGAGACAGGGTTTCACCACGTTGACCAAGCTGGTCTTGAACTTCTTTTTATTTATTTATTTTTATTTTTTGAGACGGAATTTCGCTCTTTTTGCCCATGCTGGAGTGTAATGGCGCTATCTCGGCTCACCGCAACCTCTGCCTCCCGGGTTCAAGCGATTGTCCTGCCTCAGCCTCCCGAGTAGCTGGGATTACAGGCATGCGCCACCACCCCAGCTGATTTTGTATTTTTAGTACAGACGGGGTGTCTCCACGTTGGTCAGGCTGGTCTTGAACTCCCGACCTCAAGTGATCCACCTGCCTCAGCCTCCCAAAGTGCTGGGATTACAGGTGTGAGCCACCGCGCCCGGCAGGCTGGTCTTGACGTTCTGATTTCAGGTGATCCACCCGCCTCGGTTTCCCAAAGTGCTGGGATTACAGGAGTGAACCACCGCGCCCGGCCCAATTTTTTTTTTTTTTTTTTGAGAGGAAGTCTTATTCTGTTGCCCAGGCTGGAGTGCAGTGGTGCGATCTCGGCTCACTGCAAGCTCTGCCTCCCGGGTTTCCTGCCTCAGCCTCCGGAGTAGCTGGGACTACAGGCACCCACCACCGCGCCCAGCTAATTTTTTGTATTTTTAGTAGTGACGGGGTTTCGCTGTGTTCTCGATCTCCTGACCTCGTGATCCGCCTGCCTCGGCCTCCCAAAGTGCTGGGATTACAGGCGTGAGCCACCGCGCCCAGCCCTTTTTTTTTTTTTTCAGACGGAGTTTCACTCTTGTTGCCCAGGCTGGAGTGCAATGGCACAATCTCAGCTCACTGCAACCTCTGCCTCCCGGGTTCAAGTGATTCTCCTGTCTCAGCCTCCCTAGTAGCTGGGATTACAGGCATGTGCCACCATGCCCGGCTAGTTTTGTACTTTTAGTAGAGACGGGGTTTCTCCATGTTGGTCAGGCTGGTCTCGAACTCCCGACCGCAGGTGATCCACCCTCCTCGGCTTCCCATAGTGCTGGGATTATAGGCATAAGCCACCGCGCCTGGTCTTTTTTTTTTCTTTTTGAGACAGTCTCGCAGTGTTGCCAAGGCTGGAGTGTAAAGGGCGCAATCTCGGCTCACTGCAACCTCTGCCTCCTGAGTTCAAGTGATTCTCCTATCTTAGCCTCCCGAGTAGCTGGGATTACAAGTGCCCACCACCATGCCTGGCTAATGTTTTGTATTTTTAGTAGAGATGGGGTTTCACTGTGTTGGTCAGGCTGGTCTTGAACTCCCGCCTCGGCCTCCCAAAGTGCTGGGATCACAGACGTGAGCAACTGCACCCGGCTGCACAGCTAGTTTTGTATTTTTAGTAGAGACAGGGTTTCACATGTTGGCCAGGCTGGTCTGGAACTCCTAACCTCAAGTGATCCGCCCGCCTAGGCCTCCCAAAGTGCTGGGATTACAGGCGTGATAATTTTTGTATTTTTAATAGAGATGGGGTTTCGCCATGTTGGCCAGTCTAGTCTTGAACTCCTGACCTCAAATGATCTGCCCGCCTGGCCCTCCCAAAGTGCTGGTATTATAGGCATGAGCCCCCGGGCCCGGCCAATTTTCATTAAATGTGATTATGTCACTCTCCCTCCTGAAACCACAGAATTGTTTTTTTGGTGGTTGGATTAAAATCCAAACCACATCCACTAGATGAGATAGGAGGTCAAAAATATCCAGCCATTCTCTAGGGTCTACAAGGACCCTTTATGGTTTGGCCCCTGCCTAGGTCTTCAATCTCTTGCTGTATTCATCTTGTCTTTGCTCATTAAAGCCCAGCCTTTGCACTTTCACTTCCTTCTTCCTGGAAATCTCTTCCCTTACCTCTCCTCAGACCTCCTTTTGGGTGTGTGAGTCTTACATGAACAGTCATTTCCGTCACAAGAGTTCAAGGCTGCAGTAAGCCACAGTTGCACCACCGTACTCCAGCCTGGGCAGCAGACAGAGATTGTCTCAAAAAAAAAAAAAGTTGTGGCTGGATGCGGTGGCTCATGCCTGTAATCCCAGCACTATGGAAGGCTGAGGCAGGTGGATCACCTGAGGTCAGGAGTTCGAGACCAGCCTGACCAATATGGTGAAAAACCGTCTCTACTAAAATACAAAAATTAGCTGGGCATGGTGGCGCATGCCTGTGATCCCAGCCACTTGGGAGGCTGAGGCAGGAGAAGCACTTGAACCCAGGAGGCGAAGGTTGGAGTGAGCCGAGATCATGCCATTGCAGTCCAGCCTGGACGACAAGAGACTCCGTATAAAAAACAAAACAAAACAAAAAAGTTGCTTTCTCAGTAAGGCCATTCCTGACCATCCAGGCACTCTCTGGTACCTTAGCCTGTTCTTTTTCCTGCATAATATTAACATTATTAGGCTGGGTGCGGTGGCTCATACCTGTAATCCCAGCACTTTGGGAGGCCGAGGCAGGCAGATCACTTGAGGTCATGAGTTGGAGACCAGCCTGGCCAACATGGTGAAACTGGTCTCTACTAAAACACAAAAATTAGCTAGGCATGGTGGTGCATGCCTGTAATCCCGGTTACTCGGGGGGCTGAGGCAGGAAAATTGCTTGAACCCGGGAGATGAGGTTGCAGTGAGCCAAGATTGTACCACTGCCCTCTAGCCTGGGCGATAGAACAAGACTCTATCTCAAAATAATAATAATAATAATAATAATAATAATAATAATAATAATATAAACATTGTATTTGTTTGCTTTTGTTAATTGTCTACTGGAGTGGCAGCCCCAGGAACACAGGGACCAGAATAGTAATAGCACCTGACTCTAAGCAAATGCTCATTAGATATGCATTGAGTGGGCCAGGCATGGTGGCTCATGTCTACAATCCCAGCACTTTGGGAGGCCAAGGTGGGTGGGTCACCTGAGGTCAAGAGTTAAAATCAGCCTGGCCAATATGGTGAAATTGCGTCTCTACTAAAACTACAAAAATTAGCCGGGTGCAGTGGTGGGAGCCTGTAATCCCAGCTACTCAGGAGGCTGAGGCAGGAGAATCGCTTGAACCCAGGAGGCGGAGGTTGCAGTAAGCCAAGATCATGCCATTGTGCTCCAGCCTGGGCAACAGAGCGAGATTCTGTCTCAAGAAAAAAAAAAAGAATCATTATCTCCACCTCTTTTAATCTTTCTTCAAATCTTGCCGGTTTTCCTTGGAGAGGTTTTTCTTCTCCTTTCAACTGTCACCTTAAATCCTTAGCCCAGTTTCTCAACACCTCACATCCAAACTGCCGTCCACATCCTCAAACCCACTCCCTCCAGTCCAAGGCCAGCCTCCTGACGTGCGACCTGCACAGTGGCGCAAGGCCCATGCTCATAGTTGTTTGGTTTAAAACTCTGCTGTTGCTTTTTTTTCCCCCCAAACATTCATGGAGCTGAATGCCATCGCTGTCTTGAAATTCTTCATAGTTCTATCTTTGAATTTGTGCTTTGTAAGTAACATCCAGTGGAGCACTGGCGCATGCGTGTGAGCAGAGGAGATACGTCCCATTCACACAGCGTTCCAGATGCAACATGGACACAGAATTCTGGGGAACCTACAACGTGTGGGAGTTCAGCCAGACTCCAGATGAGTATAAGGTAAGCACATTATGTCTGCAACTGAATATGTGAGGCTGAGCCCGGCCAGCTGCTGAATTGGACGTGAACATGGAAAAGCTCCCTCTGCAAGGAACCTCAACAACAATGGCTCCTGCCTGTAATTCCAGCACTTTGAGTGACCCAGGCGGGAGGATCCCTTGAGCCCAGGAGTTCAACACAAGCCTTGGCAATATGGCGAGACCCCATCTCTATGAAAAACTTCTTTAAAAATTAGCCAGGCATTTTAGCCAGGTGGACTAGTAGACAGGCATTTAGCCCGGTGAGACTAGTAGCCACTGGGCTACTCCCAGCTACTTAGGAGGCTGAGCTGGGAGGATTGGATCACCATGATCACGCCACTGCACTCCAGCCTAGGTGACAGAATAAGAGACTATCTCAAAAAAAAAAAAAAAAAAAAAGAGTAAGTGGGAGTGCTGACAGCTGAGAGACCACACTCTCCACTGGAAGCAGAACTTGGCTATGAACGTGGAAAGGAAGCAATGGCATTGTAGGAGGCATGGATGATCACCATACCTTACCAGATCTTTTCTTAGTCATGTCCCTGTTTTGGCCACTTACGCTGGCAACAATGACATAGAAGGAAAGGGAAGGCTGAGGCAACCCATAGTTCCTTTTCCTTTCAGTCCTTCCTTCCTTATCAGGAAGCTGAAGATAGAAAAATGTTAGGCGGGGCTCACACCTGCAATCCTAGCACTTTGGGAGGCCAAGATGGCAGGATTGCTTGAGGCCAGGAGTTTGAGACCAGCCTCGTCAACACAGAGACCTCCATCTTTGTTTTTTAAGAGACCCCCCATCTCTAAAAAAGAAAGAGAAAGAGACCGGGTGCGGTGGCTCACGCCTGTAATCCCAGCATTTTGGGAGGCCGAGGTGGGCGGATCACGAGGTCAGGAGTTCCAGACCAGACTGACCAACATGGTGAAATCCCATCTCTACTAAAAATACAAAAATTAGCCAGGCGTGGTTGTGCACGCCTGTAATCCCAGCTACTCAGGAGGCTGAGGCAGGAGAATCGCTTGAACCCGGGAGGTGGAAGTTGCAGCGAGCCAAGATCGCGCCATTGCACTCCAGCCTGGGCGACAGAGTGAGACTCCGTCTCAAAAAAAGAAAAAAAAAACATGTAAACATTAAATAGCAAAGAAAAAAACACCATGAGAAAGCCAGGTGTGGTGATGTGTGCCTGCAGCCCCAACTACCTGGAGGCTGAGACTGGAAGGTCGTTCATGGACATGCTGGGTACGGTGGCTCACACTTGTGATTTCAGCACTTTGGGAGGCTGATGTGGGTGGATCCCTTGAGTCCAGGAGTCCAGGAGTTCCACACCAGCCTGGCCAACACGGCAAAACCCTGTCTCTAGTAAAAATACAAAAATTAGCCGGGCATGGTGGCCTGTGCCTGTAATCCCAGCTACTCAAGAGGCTGAGACAGAAGAATTGCTTGAACCTGGGAAGTGGAGGTTGCAGTGAGCCAAGATCGCGTCACTGCACTCCAGTCTGGGTGACATAGCAAGACCCTGTCTCTAAAACAAAAAACCATGAGAAGCTGAAAGAACTATGGATGAAAGGAAAATAGTTTAGGCTGGGTGCGGTTGTTCACACCTGTAATCCCAGCACTTTGCGAGGCCAAGGTAGGTGGATCATTTGAGGTCAGGAACTCAAAACTAGCCTGGCCAACATGGTGAAATCCCATCTCTACAAAAAAATACAGAAATTAGCCGGGCGTGGTGGTAGTCCCAGCTACCCGGGAGACTGAGGGAGGAACCGCTTGAACCCTGGAGGCAGAGGCTGCAGTGAGCAGATATCATGCCACTGCACTCCAGCCTGGGTGACACAGTGAGACTCTGTCTCCAAAAAAAAAAAAAAAAAAAAAAAAAAAAAAAGTTTATATTTTAGTGCCTCTAAGGGCATTTTTTCCCCTAGGTTTTGAACAAGGGTCCCTGCATTTCCATTTTGCACTGGATCCTGACAATTATGCAGCTGGCCATGCTTCAGTCTATTCTGCAGCAGATTCGGGATTAATTTTCTCAAAATACAGCTTTAATTAGGCCACTCCTCAGCTGAAAGTTCTTCAGTGGCTTCTTATTAGCCTGTAGGATAGAGTCCTGATTCTTCAGTCTAACCTGCAGGGTACTCCGCAATCCACACCCATGCTGTGTCCCCAACCTCCTTTCCCACTAGTCTCCGACTAGTTCTCTCCTGGAGCCAAGCCAGCCACTCCTGGGGTAGACTGTGCTTACTCCTGACTTCACACCTCTGTGCCTTTCATTCCTTTGTCCTGGAAGACTACCTACCCTTCAGAGGCCAGCCCCAACTCCCATTCATTCATTCATTCATTCAATGCATACCATTTTTTTGAGATGGAGTTTTGCTCTTGTCCAGGCTGGAGTGCAGTGACACAATCTCGGCTCACTGCAACCTCCACCTTCCAGGTTCAAGCAATTCTCTTGCCTCAGCCTCCTGAGTAGCTGGGATTACAGGCTCCCACCACCGCACCCGGCTAATTTTTTTAGTTTTAGTAGAGACGCAGTTTCACCATGTTGGCCAGGCTGGTCTTGAACTCCTGACCTCTGGTCTCGAACTCCCTTGCTCAGGTGATCCATTGGCCTCGGCCTCCTATAGAGCTGGGATTACAGGCATGAGCCACTGGGCCTGGCCGAGATAATGATTTTTTTTTTCTCTCTTTTTTTGAGACGAAGTCTCACTCTATTGCCCAAGCTGGAGTGCAATGGCGTGATCTCAGCTCACTGCAAGCTCCGCCTCCCGGGTTCAAGCAATTCTCCTGCTTCAGCCTCCTGAGTAGCTGGGACTACAGGCACCCACCACCATGCCCAGCTAATTTTTTTTTTTTTTTTTATTGAGACGGAAGCTCTGTTGCCCAGGCTGGAGTGCAGTGGAGCGATCTCGGCTCACTGCAAGCTCCGCCTCCCGGGTTCATGCCATTCTCCTGCCTCAGCCTCCCAAGTAGCTGGGACTACAAGCTCCCGCCACGACGCCCAGCTAATTTTTTTTTTTTGTATTTTTAGTAGGGACGGGGTTTCACTGTGTTATCCAGGATGGTCTCGATCTCCTGACCTCGTGATCCACCCACCTCGGCCTCCCAAAGTGCTGGGATTACTGGCGTGAGCCACCGCGCCTGGCCTAATTTTGCATTTTTAAGTAGAGACGGGGTTTCACCATGTGGGCAAGGCTAGTCTCGAACTCCTGACTTCGTGATCTGCCCGCCTCGGCCTCCCAAAATGCTGGGATTACAGGCATAAGCCACCGTGCCCGGCTTGAGATAATGATTCTTAACATGTGGTATGTAGAGCAAGTGTACTCCCGCCCTAGACTGTGAGCCCCGTGAGAGATGTGGCTTCAGTGTAACCTCTCTGGCCTCCCCAGGGCTACAGCACACAGTCTATAGAGGTGCTCAATAAATGTTTGTTGACCCAAGTAGACACATAAGGAGGTGAGTTCCGACGTGGGGGTGGGGGTGCCAGGAGGCAGAGAACCGAAGTAGACCTGGCTGCAGGGCTGGGATCTCAGGGCAGTGCTGGGGACTGGGAATGTGGTGTTGAGAGGGCTTCAGGGAGACGTGATGGGAAGATGGGGAAGCCTCTGCACGTGGACAGAGCCAGGTGGTGTGGACAGGGGCTGTGAGATTGGAGAAGGAGGCGTCTGGGGGACTGGTAGCGGCTCCCAACAGGGGAACGTCCCTCTGGGGGTGGCCTTTATCCATCTCTGCGGGGCCTGTCCTAGCTTCCCTCCTGGCTCGGCCAGCCTCCCGGCTGGTCTCTTCGCTCTCTTTCTTGATCTCTAGCTCTTTATTCCTCTGACATTCTGCCCCATCTGCTCCCGGACTCTTCCGCCGCATCTGTATCTTAGTCTCTTTCTAACTCCCTGCCTGGGGCCCCCACCTTTGAGCATATATCGGCTTCTCTCTCTGCCGTTGTGTTTCTCTGGGGTTATCTTTCCCTCTACTCCGCCCGGACACGCCCTCTATCTCTTCCTCCCACCCTGTCCCAGTCTAGTACCTGGGGTGGGGGTAATGGAGAGACAGCTAGGTCCCTAAGAGAAGTCAGGGGGGCGGGCCCAACCTCTCCATATTTACATATGTATGAGGTCGCCTGGGCCAGTGGCGAGGAGGCGGAGCTTCTGGGGGTGGGAAGGGGGCGGGCACCCCCAGAGCCGCAGAGTATAAAGACCGCGCTCGGCGACCGCGGGCCTCGCACTGCTGAGGAGCGGAGCCTCCGCCTGGGGGGCCCCCCATCCCTGGCTGTCCCCCAGCTGCGCGTCCCCGCCCCACCCCCGCGGCTGAGCCACCACCGGTGCAGTGGTCTCCGCTTGGCGGAGCGAGCCTTGAGCTTCGTTCCACAGCTTCTTTGCATCTTGGATTTCGGGGCGGCCCCCTCCCCCACCTCTCTCTGCCTTTTTGTACCCCGCTTTTTTTCTGCGTTCTGCTCGGTTTTTGTAGCCGTCTGTTTTTGCACCCCATTTCGTTTTGTTTCTAGACGGTTTGGTGGGGGGTGAAGCTGCATTCATACCCCTTCCTCTTGTTATTCTCCCCTGCTCTGACAGCACCCCTTTTCATCGCAGTTGGGGGGCCTAGGATCGGTGCATCTTCCGCCGCGCTGCCAGCACCCCGCAGCGCGTGGTCGTGCACCCCGGAATCTGCAGCAGCTGCATATCTGAGGGGGGTCTCCTTTGCCCGCGCCGCCTTCGCTCCCCGTGCTTTTGGGTGTGTGGAGGGCTTCAGCGCGCGGCGCCCCCGCTTCTCCGCAACCCCCCGCCCCGCGCCCGGACTCGCCCCGCGCCACCAAGATGGTCATCCAGAAAGAGAAGAAGAGCTGCGGGCAGGTGGTTGAGGAGTGGAAGGAGTTCGTGTGGAACCCGAGGACGCACCAGTTTATGGGCCGCACCGGGACCAGCTGGGGTACGCAGGGCCGGCACGCAAGGGGCGGGGGAAAGCCGCGGGGCGACGCCTCGGGGGCGCAGGGTCCCGCCGACGCGGCCCCAGCTCCCCTCCCGGGTCCCCGGCGTCCAGCCTCCCTGCCGGGCTCTGGGCTGGGAGGGGGCCGAATCGCCAGTCTAATCTCCCCGGCTGGCCGTGCGGAGGCGGAGAAAGTAGGTCACAGCCGCCTTCCCGCCCCCCGCGGAGCCCCCTCGGGCGGGGGGTCGCCAGCTCCGCCTGCGTGTCCGCGCCGGCGCTCACACTCCCTCTCGGGGCCTGTCCGCTCCACACGGGCGTCCCCCACCTCCAAAGAGCGCCCCTTCCCTCCCTCCGGCTCTCACTAGCTCCGCAGCCCCGTCTATTTTTAGCTCGTGCCCACCCCCTGGACCCTGGGAACGTTCATGAGGGGGCGGGTCTTGGGGGGTGTGTTAGGGGGGTTCTTCACGGCGGAAGTTGTCTGTATCCCACCGCCTGGCCTTGGGAGCCTTCTGGGACTGCTTTGTGGGTTGGGGGGCTGCTGATAGTATGAGTTTTACCGAGGCTGCAGGTTTTGCTCCCATGTCGGTGACGGAGGGAGGAGTGGTCGCTGTGGTGATTTGTGTGCATCAGCCAGCCAGGTGTCTGTGACAGTCGGATGACTTGGAAGCCTCCCCAGGCTGACCATGGCAGGACTCAGGGAGCTGTAGTGGTCGGGGGTTGGGGGGGTGGAGGGGGTCTGGTGACCGGCACAGGTGCAGGTGAGGGGTGGAATTCTTCCAAGAGGGATGGTCAAGCTGGGACGTTGAGACACAGGGGACAGAGGACACTGTGTGACACGATTTACAATCTTTCCACACTGGGCACCGTCCCCATCAGTCCACCCATTCGGGGCCTACACGAAGTGGGTCCCATGCAATCCATTCCCTCAGGGAACTCAAACTCCAGCCCCTGGGATGAGAAGAATCCAGCAATGCTTGGGAGAGCCAGAGGACTTCATGGAAGAAGTGTCCTCTGAGATGGAAGGATTGGGAGTCCAGGGTGGTGGGAACAGCCGGCCCTTGGGTCCTTACTTCAGGCGGGGGAGCCATGGAGAGATCCCACCAAGGGAAGGCTGTGGGAGATTCTGCCTTTCCTCCCTGCCTCTGCCCAGGGTGCTGGGTGTGAACTGAGGGTGGGGTGACTGTTGAAGGTTCTAACAAGCCGTCTCTGAGAGATTTGTAGCTAGGCTAGTGTTAGGTCTTTCATTTCAGGAACTGTGTTCAAAGTTTGGCTTCTGAAGGGCACCAGGAGAGAGATGTTGCTATTCAAATCTGAGGGTCCAGTCTCTGCGGGGTGGTATGAGGGTTTGCTTGTGAATGGTGGCCAGTACCCGCTTTAAAAGGCACCATGCTAGCACAGCTTTAAGCATGAGTACGAATGCAGAGGTAACAGATGTGTGCCTTGTCAGGACTATGCATGGTTGAGAAGTTGGAAATGTAATTGGAGGCAAAATAACAGACCTCCACAAGGTCGGGCTTCACTGTGCCCTAGGACCAGGAGGGGGCTGGGAGTCATGGCTAGAAGCCAGACACAACTGCCTGTTTCCAGTTTGTCTCATTTTGCCTCCAGAGGAAGGCTCTAAGACATCCCTGTGGCTCTGTGATCAGTCCCAGTGCAGAACTTCAGAGTGGGTAGAGGGGTGTGTGGGGATAGTTGAGGTTATGGTGGGAACCTTGGGCCCTGCTGACCCTGTTTCCTCCTCCCTAGCCTTTATCCTCCTCTTCTACCTCGTTTTTTATGGGTTCCTCACCGCCATGTTCACCCTCACCATGTGGGTGATGCTGCAGACTGTCTCCGACCATACCCCCAAGTACCAGGACCGACTGGCCACACCGGGTGAGTGTGGAGGCTCCCCCTGCCAGCTACTCTAACTGCTCTTGTGCCCCCAAACCTCCAGAAGGAACTCATAGTTCCTTCCAGGAGTTTGATTTTGATGACCCAATCCCCACGTGCTTGGAAGTTCTTGAAATCTGTCCACCTTCCCATTTACTGCAGTTGGGAGCTGTGTGATTTGGGCATGTGGCAGATAGCCACAGGAGATCACCCTCCCATGAAGACGATCTCAGATATTCACCGCTGTCCCCACTCTGGTGTTCCCTGTGTCCATTTTCTTCCCTCTGTGTGCAGTCCCTCATCTTATAGATACCCCCAACTTCTGCCTTTGTTGGCTGTAGGCTTGATGATTCGCCCCAAGACTGAGAACCTTGATGTCATTGTCAATGTCAGTGACACTGAAAGCTGGGACCAGCATGTTCAGAAGCTCAACAAGTTCTTGGAGCGTGAGTGTGGGCCTGGTTATGTGTCAGTTCAAGACTTCGGGCAGGGGACTGGGGACCTTGGAAGTGGAACATCTGGCCCCTGAGTCTCTCCCTCCCACCTCTTTAGCTTACAACGACTCTATCCAAGCCCAAAAGAATGATGTCTGCCGCCCTGGACGCTATTACGAACAGCCAGATAATGGAGTCCTCAACTACCCCAAACGTGCCTGCCAATTCAACCGGACCCAGCTGGGCAACTGCTCCGGCATTGGGGACTCCACCCACTATGGTTACAGCACTGGGCAGCCCTGTGTCTTCATCAAGATGAACCGGGTATCTATGACCTTGGTCCCCAGGGTGAATGGAGGAAGGATCTGGGGACACCACCTGCAGACAATTGCATCCTTTCACTGGGGCTAATGGGCATGAGAAAGACTTGGATGTTTGTGTAGCTGAGAGAAAAAGAGAGGTGGGACTCTTGGAGGCTAAGCTCTGCAGTTAGAAGGCTGGATGCCTTTTGTTTTTTTTTTAGACAGGGTCTTGCTATGTTGCCCAGGCTGGCCTTGAACTCCTGGAATTAAGCTATCCTCCCGCCTCAACCTCCCTAGTAGTTGGGACTACAGTCCCCGGCTTAGCTTGGTCTGGATGCCCATCTTCGACAACTTCTTCCTCTGACTCTCTTCACCTTCCACCCTCACTCCAGGTCATCAACTTCTATGCAGGAGCAAACCAGAGCATGAATGTTACCTGTGCTGGGAAGGTGAGTTCGTTGGGCCTTGTCTGCCTGCTCACCTGAGTGGCTCACCTGAGTGTCCTTCATGGTTTCTGTGTAATTCACCTGTCTCTCCCTATCTTCTTTGCTCCTAGAGGCCCCATCACCATAGAAACAAGGGGGTAAGAGTGGGCTTTTGGGCTCCACTGTAGCTTGAACTCCGAGGGCCCCGCACTCCTCTTGCTTCTCTCTGGGATGCAGAGGCCTGCTCTCCTAGGGGCCAGACACACGCCCTCCTCCACCAACGCCCTGGCCTCTGGCTTCTCTCCCTAACGCTTCCACCTTCTCCTTCATTCCCAGATTGTCCGTATCGTTCGCTCTCCCTCCCATATGGCCCCCACCCGTCAGTTCCTTCTAGGTGTCTGGTAGCTGCTGATCTGTTAGCACCATCTGCCACCAGTTCGTTGTCCTTGGGACCCTGTTCCCCGCTTCCCCCCCGGTCTGTCCTTTCTAGAAACTGGCTGCTCCCTCCACATCCCCTTCCTTGCTTCCTATTCAACCCTTAATCATGTATCTCTTCTTTCTTGGCTCTGCTCCAGAAACTGATTCCTGAGGATGGGGTAAGAACTTGGGGTAGGAGTGGAGTAGGAGGCTTTCGTGCCATTAGCAGCCTTCAGGAGTTCCTAGAATGATGACAGGGACAGACCATCCCCTCATCTACACACGCACATGCAGACACACACACACAGACTCACAGCTCCAGGGAGGCAGACTTGAGACAGGAATAATTGGGGCGAAGGAAGAACAAAAGAACAAATGGAAGTCTGGTGAGCTCCTGGGTGCCTGCCATCCCTAACTGGCTCACCCCCTATCTTCCTGCACCCCCACAGCGAGATGAAGATGCTGAGAATCTCGGCAACTTCGTCATGTTCCCCGCCAACGGCAACATCGACCTCATGTACTTCCCCTACTATGGCAAAAAGTTCCACGTAAGTCCCAGGGGAGGCCCAGGCTGATGGCGGGTGCGGGTGGTGAGCTAGGGAAGGAGGCCGCGTTGCCCCAGGCCTAGACCCTGCACTGCTCCTCCGGCCCAGGTGAACTACACACAGCCCCTGGTGGCTGTGAAGTTCCTGAATGTGACCCCCAACGTGGAGGTGAATGTAGAATGTCGCATCAACGCCGCCAACATCGCCACAGACGATGAGCGAGACAAGTTCGCCGGCCGCGTGGCCTTCAAACTCCGCATCAACAAAACCTGAGGCCCCTTCCTCCCACCCCATCTCTCTCCTGTGGATGCTCCTGGAATGTCCCTGACCCTGCCTGATCCCTCCCTCACCCACCCCAAAGGTATTTTTGATAACAGAGCTATGACTTGTCTGAGCCTCACATCCTTTTCCTTGACTTCTCAACCCAGCCTGAAGTCCATTGCGGTTCCGTCACTCGCCTTTCCCACCAACTTCTCCCAACCTCAGATCAGTCAGACAGGGAGCTGGGCTAAGATGGCCACGGAGGAGTTAGGAGCCTTTCTAGTTCTGGTTTAGCTGTGAGAGCTATCCACTCTCCTGCCTGCATATCCCCTGAGAGTTATAGGAAGTGCCCACTGACCCACCCACCCACCTACACCCCCCGCCACACACACACACAAACGTGCACACGCGTCTCATTTGACCCCTTTGCTTCCAGAGATGAATGTGGCACTCCCTCCTTCCATTCCTAAGCTCTGGCCACCGTCCCTTGATCTCTCATACTTTCTCCCTGTCTACACAGTCGCCATCTTGGTGACTTTGAATTTATCTGGCTCCTGGGCAGGTCTTCTCCTCCTCTCCATCCCTATTCCCTCCTCTGAAATGCACCCCTTTGTAATTGAGGACAAGGTGGTTCTGTGGCCTTTTCCCTCTTTGCTGGCACGTTCTGCTTCTCACCCTCTGGTGACTCTGTGAGCTGGGAAATGAGGGACTGGAAGTGAGGCCTGTGTTGACCCTTCCTGAAAATCCTCTAGCAGCCCCCGACTTCAGCAGTTTCTTTCTTTGTTTTTTTGAGATGGAGTTTCGCTCTTGTTGCCCAGGCTGGAGTGCAATGGTGCAATCTCAGCTCACTGCAACTTCCGCATCCCAGGTTCAAGCGATTCTCCCGCCTCAGGTTCCCGAGTAGCTGGGACTACAGGCATGTGCCACCATGCCCGGCTAATTTCTTTCTTTCTTTTTTTTTTTTTTTGCATTTTTTAGTAGAGATGGGGGTTTCTCCTTGTTGGTCAGGCTGGTCTCGAACTCCCGACCTCAGGTGATCCACCTGCCTCGGCCTCCCAAAGTGTTGGGATTACAGGCGTGAGCCACCGCGCCCGGCCTTCAGTTTCTTCCTAGGCCGTTCTGTCACCCAAATAGCTGCTACCCAGAGGGGCGGGGTTGACCTAGGCTGAATATCCACTTTGTTTTTATGGATGGCTCCCTTCCCCCATTCGCCTTCCCAGAATATCCTTCAAGTTCCACTTCCCAGGGAGCTCTGGGGGAGGGGCGGCCATTCTGGCTCCGTCCCCAGTGGCCACCTTGGAAACATCGGCTGGCTTTGGGACTATTCCACCTCCTTCCCCTGAGCCCAGATCTGCCCCCACCATCCTTTCTCTGGCTTCTTTTAGCAAGTTATCAACTAATCACTAACTCCTTCCTTTTCCTCTGCATGCCAGCCTGAAAATTCCAAATCTAGCCTCTGAATGTCTTGGCTCCATCTCTTCAGACCCCTTTGCCTTTAAAAAAAAAACAAAAACAAAAACAAAAAAACCCATAATGCCCACAGAATGTCAAATGAGGGGCCTCCTGCCTCCTGCTCTGAATATTCTGTAGCTGTAGAGGCATTTTAACCCTTTGTCCTCCAGCATCCCTTCACTTCCTCATCCTCTCTAACCTCCTTTTTCTTTTTTTAATGCTGCAGCCTCCACACTCCACCCACAGGTGGACCCTTCCCTTTTTCTCTAGCTGGATCTGTGTTTCTTCCCTTCGGGCCCCCATGTTTTCCTGCACCCGCCCTACCATGGTCTCTCTCTGCAGTTATTTAATGCCTGTGTCAGATCTACTGTAAAAAGAGGATTAAGTAAAATAAAATGAGAGCAATTATATATATAAATATATATCATACACAGAGCCCTGTGTGTGGGTTGTTCCTTTCTGAGCAGTTGGAAGAGCCCAGGGAAGGAGTGGAGGGTGGATCTGGGTGGTCCCAAGGGGATCCCCCAGGCCTTGGAGGCCGCTCCCCAGCTTTGATCTCTTCCTTCCAGTGTCCAAGCATCTACCCCCTTCGCCTTGACTAATTTAGTGCGCACTATCTTGGGATAACTCCATACAAGAGAGACAGGAAGCCTACGTCCCTTTTGTACAGTGATGCTTATGAAGTGCCTACTGTGTGCATTCTAGGCACCGTGAGGACACAGTTATGAAAGAGGCAGAGATCCTGCCCCCAAGGAGCTCCCCAGTTTAACAGGAGAGGTGAGGAGCACACGAGAAACTCTCATGCAGGGTAGACCTAAACATGCTTCAAGGAAAGGGAGAGAGCCTGTGATGATAAAATTCAGAGCCGTCAACCGCTGTCTGTCAGGCACGTTAAAGGGAAGCTTTCTCAGAGGAGGTAGCATTTGAACGGGAGCTTAAAGGAGGGGTGATTTGGAGAGAAAAGAGCATCAGCAAATGCTCAGAGACAGATGAGAAAAGTTGACTAGAAGAAACATGAATGTCAAAGCAATAAGAGCCGGGCATGGTGGCTCACGCCTGTAATCCCAGCACCTTGGGAGGCTGAGGCGGGCAGATCACCTGAAGTCGGGAGTTCAAGACCAGCCTGGCCAACATGGTGAAACCCCGTCTCAACTAAAAAAAAAAAATACAAAATTAGCCGGGCGTGGTGGTGCCCACCTGTAATCCCAGCTACTCGGGAGGCTGAGGTAGGAAAATCGCTTGAGCCCGGGAGGCGGAGGTTGCAGTGAGCTGAGAGTGTGCCATTGCACTCCAGCCTGGGCAACAAGAGCAAAACTCCATCTCAAAAAAAAAAAAAAAAGCAATATGAACTATAAGATCCTAATTTTGTGGAAAGTAAACACACAGGCCGGGCGTGGTGGCTCTTGCCTGTAATCCCAGTGCTTTGGGAGGCTGAGGTGGGAGGATTACCTGAGGTCAGGAGTTCGAGACTAGTCTGGCCAACATGGTGAAACCCTGTCTCTACTAAAAATACAAAAAATTAGCCGGGCCTGGTGGCAGATGCCTGTAGTCTCAGCTACTTGGGAGGCTGAGGCAGGAGAATCGTTTGAACCCAGGAGGTGGAGGGTGCAGTGAGCTATTGTGCCACTGCACTCCAGCCTAGGCAACAAGAGCGAAACTCCGTCTCAAATAAATAAATAAAAAAGTAAACAGACACATAAGGATAGAAAAAAATATATATGATGTTTCCTGTAGTATATGGGGGAGGGGAGGGGCTTATAGCTAATTTTTATTTTCTTATCGGGGCCTTTTTTCTTTTTGCAATGAATTGGTCTTCGTATTTGTCTTAAAAATAGCTTTATTACACATGAATCCACCTATACACAATTTTATCATGAATGCATAATATACACACATGCACGCACACACACACACCCCTCATCATATAGAAAAGGATCACTGGGTTTTGGTCATTGTTATACTAAAATTGGGTCATACCATACACACTTTCATGCATCTTACTTTTCCCACTCAATAAATATCATATGTCAGTACTTCCCCTGGCAGAGCTCTAATTTATTTCAAGTTTTATTTCTTTATGAACTTAATTATTTATTTATGTACTTATTTATTTTTGAGACAGAGTCTTGCTCTGCCACCCAGGCTGGAGTGCAGTGGTTTAATCTCGGCTCACTGCAACCTCCACCATCTGGGTTCAAGCGATTCTCCCACCTCAGCCTCTCGAGTAGCAGGGATTACAGGCGCCCGCCAGCACGCCCGGTTAATTTTTGTATTTTTGGTAGAGACAGGGTTGTGCCATGTTGGCCAGGCTGGTCTCAAACACCTGACCTCAGGTGATCCACCTGCCTTGGCCTTCCAAAGTGTTGGGATTACAGGCGTGAGCCACCTCGCCGGGCCTCCTTGACAATTTTGATATGAGCTTTCTGCATCATTGTTCCTATCTATTGTTTGTCTCTTGACTTTGTAGTATCTTTTTTTTTTTTTTGGAGACAGAGTCTCATTTCCTTACCCAGGCTGGAGTGCAGTGGTGCAATCTCGGCTCACTGCAACCTCCACTTTCCAGGTTCATGTGATTCTCATGCCTCAGCTACCTGAGTAGCTGGGATTACAGGTGCACACCACTACGCCTGGCTGACTTTTGTATTTTTAGTAGAGAAGGGTTTTCACCGTGTTAGCCAGACTGGTCTCGAACTCCTGACCTCAAGTGATCCTCCCACCTCAGCTTCCCAAAGTGCTGGGATTATAGGCCTGAGCCACTGTGCCTGGCCAAGGCCCCAGTTTTATTTTTTCAGTTGTGCCAGCTTCATTTATTTTTTTTCCCCCAAGGCAACTTGGAAATGTGTGTTGGGCAAAAAAATATATTTTTAAGAGATAGGGGCCAGGTGCGGTGGCTCACGCCTGTAATCCTAGCGCTTTGGGAAGCCGAGGCGGGTGGATTGCCGGAGCTCAGGAGTTTGAGACCAGCCTGGGGAACACGGTGAAACCCTGTCTCTACTAAAAATACAAAAAATTAGCTGGATGTGGCGACAGGCACCTGTAATCCCAGCTACTTGGGAGGCTGAGGCAGAAGAATCGCTTGAACCCGGGACGTGGATGTTGCAGTGAGCCAACATCGTGCCATTGCACTCTAGCCTGGGTGAGAGAGCCAGATTCCATCTCAGAAAACAAACAAACAAAAAAAGAGATAGGGGCCGGGCACAGTGGCTCACGCCTGTAATCCCAGCACTTTGGGAGGCTGAGGTGGGCGGATCACCTAAGCTCAGGAGTTCGAAACCAGCCTGATCAACATGGAGAAACCCTGTCTCTACTGAAAATGCAAAAAAAATTAGCCAGGTGTGGTGGCGTATGCCTGTAATCCCGGCTACTCGGGAGGCTGAGGCAGGAGAATCACTTCAACGTAGGAAGCGGAGGTTGCGGTGAGTCAAGATCACACCATTACACTCCAGCCTGGGCAATGAGAGCGAAACTCTGTCTCAAAAAAAAAAAAAAAAAAAAAAAAAAAAAGATAACAAAAAGAACAAAAGAACAAATATATCTAATGTGTTCCAATTAAATTGAAATGCTAATTTTGGCCATGTAATAATTCTCCTGTATGAGAACATCTCCTGTATTTGTTACTTGCTTTCCTTGGTTTGTCTACCACTCCATATGTCACATCCACCTCATTCCAGCAGTTATATAGTAAGTTTTCTTTTTTTTTTTCTCGTTTCTTTTTTTTTTTTTTTGATGGAGTCTCACTCTTGTTGCCCAGGCTGGAGTACAGTAGCGTGATCTCAGCTCGCTGCAGCTTCCACCTCTCGAGTTCAAGTGATTCTCCTGCCTCAGCCTCCCAAGTAGCTGGGATTACAGGCATGTGCCACCATGCCTGGCTAATTTTGTATTTTTAGTAGAGATGGGGTTTCACCATGTTGGTCAGGCTGGTCTTGAACTCCTGACCTCATGTGATCCACTGCCTTGGACTCCCAAAGTGCTGGGATTACAGGCGTGAGCCACTGCACCTGCCTAGCCTATACTAAGTTCTCTAAAATCTGGCAAGGCAAATAGGACCCCCTCTCCATTCTGTTGCTTATTATTTACTTATTATTTACAATTTTATTATTTATGTTATTTTATATTATTTATTTTATTTATTGAGACAGTCTCCCGCTGTGTCGTCCAGGCTGGAGTGCAGTGGCACGATTTCAGCTTACTGCAACCTCTGCCTCCCGGTTTCAAGGGATTCTCCTGCCTCAGCCTCTCGAGTAGCTGGGATTATAGGTATGCACTACCACGCCTGGCTAAGTTTTGTATTTTTAGTATAGACGGGGTTTTGCCATGTTGCCCAGACTGGTCCGGAACTCCTGAGCTGAAAGCGATTCACCCGCCTTGGCCTCCCAAAGTGCTGGGATTACAGGCGGGAGCCACCGTGCCCGGCCTCCAGTATTTTGTTTATTTATTTTTTTTGAGACAGAGTCTCACTCTGTTGCACAGGCTGGAGTGCAGTGGCACAATCTCTGCTCACTGCAACCTCCTCCTCCCTGGTTAAGAGATCCTCCTGCCTCAGCCCCCTTAGTAGCTGGGATTACAGGCGTGGGCCACCACTGCCAGGCTAATTTTTGTATTTTTAGTAGAGATGGGATTTCGCTATGTTGGCCAGGCTGTCTTGAACTCCTGACCTCAGGTGATCCACCTGCCTTGGCCTAAAGAGAGAGAGAGAGACGGAGTCTCACTTTGTCGCCAGGGTGGAGTGCAGTGACAGGATCTCGGCTCATTGCAACCTCCACCTCCCGGGTTCAAGCAACTCTCCTGCCTCAGCCTCCAGAGTAGCTGGAACTACAGGCACGTGCCACCATGCCCAGCTAATTTTTTGTATCTTTAGTAGAGACGAGTTTTCACTATGTTGGCCAGATGGTCTCGATCTCCTGACCTCATGATCTGCCCGCCTCGGTCTCCCAAAGTGCTGGGATTAGAGGCGTGAGCCACCATGCCTGGCCCAAATCCAGTATTTATTTAAACAACTAGTGACACTTACTCGTTCCTATACATTTATGATAAATTTACCCAACTCACACACACACACAATGAAAATTTGGGATTCTAATTGAAATTGCATTATATTATATTTATCTCGAGATAATTGATTTTTCTTATTTTTTTAGTTTTCCCATCTGAGAATCTATCATTTTCTTTGGATCTTGGCTTACGTCGTTAAATAAGGGTTTGTGGTCTTCTGCATACAGGCTCTGTGCCATTCCTTCTTTGTGTGTGCCATTCCTATTACACATTTCTTAATGTTTATTGCTATTGTCTTTTTTTTTTTTTTTTTTTTGAGATGGAGCCTCACACTGTTGCCCAGGCTGGAAAGCACTGGCAGGATCTTGGCTCACTGCAATCTCTGCCTCCTGGGTTCAAGTGATTCTTCTGCTTCGACCTCCCGAGTAGCTGGAATTACAGGCTTACACTACCATAGCTGGCTGATTTTTGTATTTTCAGTAGAGACAGGGTGTCACCATGTTGGCCAGGCTGATCTCAAACTTGACCTCAGATGATCCTCCTGCCTCAGCCTCCCAAAGTGCTGGGATTACAGGTGTGAGCCACCATGCCCGGCCTTATTGTCATTATTTTGAATGGAATGTTTTCTTGTTGTCTAATTTTTCACAGTGCTTCTGCTGGAAGATAAAATTAATATTTTTCTACCTACTACTTATCTGCCTTACTAAATTCTGTTAATTCCATAATATTTCTGAGTTTTGGTATACTATCCTATAATCAAAAAGGCATATATGTGTGTGCATGTATGTACGTGTTTGTGTATATATATAATATATATAATATAATATAATATATATATAATTTCCAAACATCCACTCTAACCAGAAAGAGGTATATTTACTAGTGATTTTCTTCCTTTTTTGTTCCTCTTGAATGCACTAAAACCAGAGTAGGCTGGGCACAGTGGCTCACTCCTGTAGTCTCAGTGCTTTGGGAGGCAGAGGCGGGTGGATCATGAGGTCAGGAGTTCGAGACCAGCTTGGCCAACATGGTGAAACCCTGTCTCTACTAAAAATACAAAAAATTAGCCGGGGGTGGTGGCAGGCACCTGTAATTCCAGGTATTCAAGAGGCTGAGGCAAGAGAATCGCTTGAATCCGGGAGGTGGAGGTTGCAGAGAACAGAAACCACGCCACTGTACTCCAGCCTGGGCAACAGAGCGAGACTCCGTCTCAGAAAAAAGAAAAGAAAAGAAAAGAAAAAATAAAACCAGAGTAAGTCTATATCCCCACAGTTTTTAATTTAATTAATTAATTACTTTGTTTATTTATTTTGAGATGGAGTCTTGCCCTGTCACCCAGGCTGAGTGCAATGGCACGATCTTTGCCCACTGCAACCTCCGCCTCCTGGGTTCAAGCGATTCTCCTGCCTCAGCCTCCCAAGTAGCTGGGATTACAGGTGCCTGCCACCACGCCTAGCTACTTTTTGTATTTTTAGTAGAGACGGGGTTTCACCACGTTGGCCAGGCTGGTCTCGAACTCCTGACCTCCTGATGTGCCTGCCTTGGCCTCCCAAGCGCTGGAATTACAGGCGTGAGCCACCGTGCCCGGCCAGTTTTTAATTTTTTTAAATAGAGACAGGGTCTTTCTCTGTTGCCTGGGCTGGTCTCAAGGGATCCTCCCACCTTGGCCTCCCAAAGTGCTGGGATCACAGGCATGAGCCACCATACAGCCCCTTATACTGTTCTTGATTATTTATTTATTTATTTTGAGATGGAGTCTTGCTCTGTCACCCAGGCTGGAGTGCAGTGGCACGATCTCGGCTCGCTGCAACCTCCGCCTTTCGGATTCAAGCAATTCTCCTGTCTCAGCCTCCTGAATAGCTAGGACTACAGGCGCGTGCCACCACACCCGCCTAATTTTTTGTATTTTTAGTAGAGACGGGGTTTCACCTTGTTAGCCAGGATGGTTTCAATCTCTTGTCCTCGTGATCTGCCCGCCTCAGCCTCCCAAAGTGCTGGGATTACAGGCGTGAGCCTCCACACCCGGCCAGATTATCTATCTATCTATCTATCTATCTATCTATCTATCTATCTATCTATCTATCTATCTATCATCTATCTATCTCTCTATCTATCATCTATCTATCTCTCTATCTATCATCTATCTATCTATCTAGAGAGAGGTCTGGCTATGTTGACGAGGTGTTCAACTCTTGGCCTGAAGCAATTCTCCTGCCTTGGCCTCACAAAATGTTTGGATTATAGGTGTGGCCACCTCTTTTTTTTTTTGAGACTGACTCTGGCTCTGTCGCCCAGGCTGGAGTGCAATGGTGTGATCTTTGCTCACTGCAACCTCCGCCTCCCAGGTTCAAGCAATTCTCCTGTCTCAGCCTTCCCAGTAGCTGGGATTATAGGTGCCCACCACCATGCCCAGCTAATTTTTTGTGTTTTTAGTAGAGGCAGGATTTCACTATTGTCAGCCAGGCTGGTCTCCACTCCTGACCTCAGGTGATCCACCCACCTTGGCCTCCAAAGTGTTGGGATTACAGGTGTGAGCCACTGCACCTGGCCCAGCTCTTGACCTTAATTGAAATTATCTTAATGTTTAACTTATTAGGAAAATTGGTATTCCATTATCAGTCTATTACTGTGTTAAAGTGTTTTCTTTTTTAAGGAAATGGCTACTGAAATTTAATCAAATTCCTTTCAGTATCTGTTGATATGATAGATAATTTTTCTTTCTAAATTTAATATATTGAATTATGTTGATAGATTTTCTGCTATTAAAACCAACTTTGGGCTGGGCACGGTGGCTCACGCTTGTAATCACAGCACTTTGGGAGGCCAAGGTGGGCGAATCACCTGAGGTCAGGAGTTCGAGGCTAGCCTGGCGACACAGTGAAATCCTGTCTCTACTAAAAATACAAAAATTAACCCGGCGTGGTGGCGTGTACCTGTAGTCCCAGCTACTTGGGAGGCTATGGCAGGAGAATCACTTGAACCGGGAGGCAGAGATCACGCCACTGCACTCCAGCCTGGGTGACAGAGTGACACTCCATCTCAAAAAAAAAGCAAAAAAAAAAAAAAAAAAAAACCCACACACACAAATGAATAAATATAAGTTTAATTTTAAAATTAAAATTTAAAAATTGTAAATGTTTTTCACAGTATTTTATTTTATTAAAATAGAAATGGGGTGTTGTGGCCAGGCGCAGTGGCTCACGCCTGTAATCCCAGTACTTTAGGAGGCCAAGGCTGGCGGATCACGAGGTCAGGAGATCGAGACCATCCTGGCTAACACGGTGAAACCCTGTCTCTACTAAAAATACAAAAAATTAGCCAGGCGTGGTGGCGGGCGCCTGTAGTCCCAGCTACTCGGGAGGCTGAGGCAGGAGAATGGCATGAACCTGGGAGGCAGAGCTTGCAGTGAGCTGAGATTGAGCCACTGCACTCCAGCCTGAGTAACAGAGCGAGACTGTGTCTCCAAAAAAAAAAGAAAAGAAAAAGAAATGGGGTGTTGCTATGTTGCCCAGGCTGATCTGAAACTCCTGGCCTCAAGTTATCCTCCTGCTTTAGCCTCCCAATGTGCTGTGTGCTGGGATTACAGGTAGGTATATTTTTCATTTTTAGGATGCATACCAGGTTCCTTTCTTTTCTTTTTAATGATGAAAGCATTTAAGGCTATTCAATCTCCTCAGAGTACGAATTTTAGATTTGGAGACCTCGTGTTCCTAAAATGAGGGGGAAATTTTTTTTTCTTCCATTTTTTTTTCTTTTTTGAGATGGAGTCTTGCTCTGTTGCCCAGGCTAGAGTGCAATGGCGCAATCTCGGCTCACTGCAACCCTCTGCCTCCTGGGTTCAAGCGATTCTCCTGCCTCAGCCTCCCGAGTAGCTGGGATTACAGGTGTGATCCACCGTGCCTGGCCGGAAATGTTTTCTAAATAAAAAAATAGAACATATTGATTTAAGGTTGTGAATTACAAGTTTAGACTGAAGCCATGAGGAAATTGGGAGATTTGATTTCAGATCTCATTAGGATAAGGCCTGGGCTCTTTGAGTGGGAGGGTAGGGAACATGTCTGCCATAGGTTTCCAGGGCCTAGAACAGCTCCTGGCACAGGGTAAGGTACCAATGAGTACCTGCTTGACTGGATGGGACGGGAACTTGAACACGACCAGAGGGAAAGAAGTCACCAAGTAGGACCAGAGAGGTTAGAGTATATAGTGTAGCAGAGCTGGCCTGAAGTCTCAGACTTTGTACTTCTTTTTTTTGTGTGTTTTGAGATGGAGCTTCACTGTTGTTGCCCAGGCTGGAGTGCAATGGCAGGATCTTGGCTCACTGCAACCTCCACCTCCCGGGTTCAAGCAATTCTCCTGCCTCAGCCTCCCAAGAAGATGAGATTACAGGCGTGCACCACCATGCCCAGCTAATTTTGTATTTTTAGTAGAGATGGGGTTTCATCTTGTTGGTCAGGCTGGTCTCCAACTCCTGACCTCAAGTGATCCGCCGGCCTTGGCCTCCCACAGTGTTGGGATTACAGGCGTGAGCCACCGCGCCCAGCTGTAATTCTCAATCCAGCAATCTATCAGCTCACAAAGAAGGGTTTGGCAGAGTCAGAATGGATCTGAAGCAGCACAGCAGAAATAAAAACAGAGCTAGGGACATAATCTAGGAAAAGGTTGGGATTGAAAGGGTGGAGGATGGTTGTCAAAAAGGGAGATTTTCTGTTTACTTGAGATCTGCAGAGTAGGTCCAAGTGTCCTCGTCGTAGGTGAACACACGTGCACACACACAAATGGTAACTGTGTGTGATGATGGACGTGCTGATTAATTTGATTGTGGTAATGGTTTCACAATATACCCCCATATCAAATCATCACACTGCATACCTTGAATGTATGCAATTTTGGGGGATCAATTATGCCCCAATAAAGCCTAAAATAAAAAAAAATTAAAAAAAAAAAAAGGAAGCTCATCAAGGTGACCTGTCTACAGAGGCAAGGACAGGGACTGAGCTTCAGGAGCTCTAGTTTGCCTGCTGGGTAGGGACAGATGTTTAAGTTAAAAGTCTCTGAAAGAGGCGGGTCTGGATCTCCTGGGGAGAGTGTTTGGCATTCCCTAGTAAGAAAGAGAAAAAAAAAAGGTGGTCTTGAGGTCAGGAAGGCTGGTGGCTTCATAGCTGTCTGGGATCCTTGGGGCAAGGCAAGGGGCTCCTGCTTGCACCTTCAGCCTGGTTGATGAGCTGACAGGCTGGTGGCCCCAGAAGCCCCCCTGGACAGTAGCACCCACTGGACCCTAACACCCATCTCCACCACCAGGGAGGAGGAAGGGCAAGCCATGTCTGACTGCCCCTTCAAGCACTGGCTCCAAGAGAGCAGTGGGTGATGGGGAAGAGCCTGCCTGCTCCCAGCCCCCCTCCCTGGGAGCCAGCAGCCCTGAGGAGCATGGGCAGGCAGTACTGAGCTCCTCAACCCGACTCTCCTCCCTATCCCAAGAAGCCCTTTGAAAGGTTTTCCTGGCAGAGTTTAAAGCTTCAATTCATTCAGCTACCTGGCATGAGGCCCAGGATGAGGGGATGCTGGGAAGGACCTAGCCCCACACCCCTACTCTTACCTTAGCTGCCCCCACTTTCCTGGGACCCTGGCTAGCAGGCCTCCCACTGGCCTCTCTCCATCCAGTAGCACCCACCCCTGTTCCCCTTGGGAACCCAGGTATCCTGCCACTTTCTGATGGAGCAGATGGCCACCCTGGAGGCTCAGCCTTGCTAAATCAGACATTTAAATCCCGTAATCCTTGGTGAGAGGCTGCCGAGGGGGAAGCAGCCCAGTCCTAGAAGCAGGGGAGGGAGAGAACCTTGTGCCAGCCGTGGCCGGAGGGGAGGAGGGACGGTTGGTTCCTGAGTTATGAATGGAGCCACCCCCTCCCTTGTTGTCATGCAGCCCGCAGACTGACCCAGTCTCCAGCCTTTGTTCCCCTCCCGGAACCCGGGCACTGGGCCCCCCAGCCCACACTCATTGCAGACTCAGGTGGCTGCTTCCCAGCACCTCCTCACTCACCCCTGCACCTGCTGACCCCAGTAGCCTGCACTGGCGTTCACCCCTCAGACACACAGGTGGCAGCAAAGTTTTATTGTAAAATAAGAGATCGATATAAAAATGGGATATAAAAAGGGAGAAGGAGGGGAAGGGTGGGGTGAAAATGCAGATGTGCTTGCAGAATGTAAAAGATGTTGACCCTTCCAGCTGGACGTGGTGGCTCACAATTGTAATCCCAGCACTCTGGGAGGCTGAGACAGGTGGATCGCCTGAGCCCAGGAGTTTGAGACCAGCCTGGGCAACACTGTGAGACCCCATCTCTACAAAACATGCAAAAGTTGGCTGGCCATGGTGGCATGAACCTGTGGTCCCAGCTACTCCGGAGGCTGAGGCAGGACTGCTCGAGCCGGGGAGGCAAAGGCTGCAGTAAGCCAAGATCACGCCACTCCACTCCAGCCTGGGCAACAAAGCGAGACCCAGTCTCAAAGAAAAAGAAAAAAAAAAAAAAAAAAGAAAAAAGAAATTGACCCTGAGCATAAAACAAGTCTTGGTGGATCCAGATCATCATATACAAGAGATGAAATCCTCCAGGGTGTGGGATGGGGTGAGATTTCCTTTTAGGTACTAAGGTTCACCAAGAGGTTGTCAGACAGGGTTTGGCTGGGCCAGCAGAGACTTGACAACTCCCTCTACCTAACCAGCTGCCCAACTGTAGAAACTACCAACCCACCGACCAACAGGGAGAGGGAACAAGCACCCTCAAGGGGGTCAAGTTCTAGACCCCATGTAATAAAAGGTGGTTTCAAGGCCAGATGTACATTATTTCATTAACCCTCACAATGCACTCTGTGAGGTAGGTGCAAATGCCAGCATTTCACAGATATGGGCCTTGAAGTTAGAGAAAATTCAACAGTGAGGGACAGCTTCCCTGGTTAGTACGGTGAAGTGGGCCCCTACCTAGAATGTGGCTGATTGTAAACTAACCCTTAACTGCAAGAACATTTCTTACATCTCCCAAACATCCCTCACAGTAAAAACCTTAAAATCTAAGCTGGTATGTCCTACTCCCCATCCTCCTCCCCACAACAAAACACCAGTGCAGGCCAACTTGTTCAGTGGAGCCCCGGGACAAAGCAAATGGAAGTCCTGGGTGCTTCTGACGCACACCTATTGCAAGCAAGGGTTCAAAGACCCAAAACCCAAAATGGCAGGGGAGGGAGAGATGGGGGTGGGAGGCTGTCAGTGGGGAACAAGAAGTGGAGAATGTCAGTCTGAGTCAGGCCCTTCTGTCTTGAACATGAGTTTTTTATGGCGGGAGGTAGACTGACCCTTTTTGGACTTCAGGTGGCTGTAGGAGACAGAAGCAGGGAGGAGAGATGACATCACATGAGTGAGAGGGTCTGTGCCCCTTTTCCCTGACCAATGCTTTGAAGGGCCTAAGGCTGGGACAACGGGAATTCAAATCAAGATGGTGGCCACACCCCATGCAAATATGTTTACTGAGCACCTCAGAGTATTAGTGTGTATTAGTCTCGTAATCTTCCCTTACCCCATTTTACTTTATTTATCTTTTTTGAGACGGAGTTTCACTCTTGTTGCCCAGGCTGGAGTGTAATGGTGAGATCTCAGCTCACCGCAACCTCTGCCTCCCGGGTTCAAGCGATTCTCCTGCCTCAGCCTCCCGAGTAGGTAGCTGGGATTACAGGCATGCATCACCACGCCCGGCTACTTTTGTATTTTTAGTAGAGATGGGGTTTCTCCATGTTGGTCAGGCTGGGCTCAAACTCCCGACCTCAGGTGATCCACTCGCCTTGGCCTCCCAGAGTGTGGGATTCGTGAGCCACTGCGCCCGGCCCCCTTACCCCATTTTATATATAAGGAAACTGAGTTTGACGGGGGTCACCTAGGACCTGCCGGTGCATGGCAGGGCTGAGTATATGACCTGAAACTCTGGCTGTATTCAGTATTACACAATTATTAGGCCCCTCCTTGAGACCCTCCAGCTCTGGGCTGGGAGTTGCGGAGAATGGCAAAGAAGTATCCACACTCGTCCCTGGGTTTGGATGTTCTGTGGATACACTGAGGCAAGAATGTGGTTATAGGATTCAACCGGAGGAAGACTAAAAAAATGTCTGTGCAGGGCTGGGACCCAATGAGATGGGGTCAGCTGCCTTTGACCATGAAGGCAGGATGAGAATGGAATCCTATGGCTTTCCAACCTAGGAAGGCAGGGGAGTAGGGCCAGGAAGGGGCTGAGGTCACTCACCTGGAGTGAGCCCTGCTCCCCCCTGGCTCCTTCCCAGCCTGGGCATCCTTGAGTTCCAAGGCCTCATTCAGCTCTCGGAACATCTCGAAGCGCTCACGCCCACGGATCTGCAGCAACAGAGGAGGGGGAGAAGTAAGTATATACACAGTACCTGAGTTAAAAGATGGTTCAAGTTACAATTGTTTGACTTTATGACGGTACAAAAGCAACATGCATTTAGTAGAAACTGCACTTCAAGTACCTATACAGCTGACTTTTAAAAATATTTATTTATTTATTTTGAGATGGGGTCTCACTCTGTTGCCCAGGCGGGAGTGCAATGGTGCAATCTTGGCTGATTGCAATCTCCGCCTCTGGGGTTCAAGTGATTCTTGTGCCTCAGCCTCCCGAGTAGCTGGGACTACAGGCGTGTGCTACCACACCTGGCTAATTTTTGTGTTTTTAGTAGAGATGGGGCTTCACCATGTTAGCCAGGCTGGTTTCCAACTCCTGACGTCAGGTGATCTACCCACCTCCACCTCCCAAAGTGCTGGGATTACAGGTGTGAGCCACTGTGCCCGGCCCTTTTTTAAATTTTAGAGATGATGTCTTGCTATGTTGTTCAGGCTGGACTCAAACTCTTGGGCTCAAGAGATCCTCCTGCCTTAGCCTCTCAAGTAACTGGGACTACATGTGCATGCGACTGTGCCTCGTTTCTTTTCTTTTTTTTCTGAGACGGAGTCTCACTCTATCGCCCAGGCTGGAGTGCAGTGGCGCCATCTTGGCTCCCTGCAACCTCCGCCTCCTGGTTCAAGCGATTCTCCTGCCTCAGCCTCCCAAGTAGCTGGGATTACAGGCACCTGCCATCACGCCCGGTTAATTTTTGTATTTTAGTAGAGACGGGGTTTCACCATGTTGGCTAGGCTGGTCTTGAACTCCTGACCTCAGGTGATCCACCCGCCTCAGCCTCCCGAAATGCTGGGATTACAGGCGTGAGCCAGTGCGCCTGGCCTTTTCTTTTTTTGAGTCTCGCTCTGCGCCCAGGCTGTGCCTGGCTCGACTGTGCCTCCTTTCATGCAACCATGCTGTTTCTCACTTTCAGTAACAATATTCAATAAATCACATGAGATATACAACATTTTATTACTATAAAAAGGGCTTTGTGTTAGATGACTTTGCCCAACTGTAGGGTAACTTAAATGCTCTGAACACGTTTCAAGTAGGCTAGGGCTGAGTGTGGTAGCTCATGCCTGTAACCCCAATACTTGGGGAGGCTGAGGTGGAAGGATTGATTGAGCCCAGGGGTTTGATACCAGCATGGGCAACGTAGCAAGACCTTGACTTCACAGAAAATAAAAAATTAGCTGGGTGTCGTGGCATGTGCCTGTAGTCCTAGCTACTTGGGAGGGTGAAATCACCGGAGCCCAGGGAGGTCAAGGCTGCAGTGAGCTGAGATGGTGCCACTGCACTCTAGCCTGAGTGACAGAGTGAGACTCTGTCTTTAAATAAATAAATAAAAATTAGCCGGGCGTGGTGGCTCACACCTGTAATCCCAGCACTTTGGGAGGCCGAGGCGGGCGGATCACATGGTCAGAAGTTCGAGACCAGCCTGGCCAACATGGTGAAACCCTGTCTCTACTAAAAATACAAAAATTAGCTGGGCGTGGTAGCAGGCGCTTGTAGTCCTAGCTATTCGGGAGGCTGAGGCAGGAGAATCACTTGAACCCAGGAGGCAGAGGTTGCAGTGAGCCGAGATCATGCCACTGCACTCCAGCCTGGGCGACAGAGTGAGACTGAGTCTCAAAAAAATAAAATAAAATAAAATAAAAATAAATAAATAAAAATTAGCCAGGCATGGTGGTGCAGGCCTGTAGTTGAAGCAACTTGGGAGGCTGAGCTGGGAGGATGGATGGAGCCTGGGAGGTGGAGGCTGCAGTGAGCTGTGACTGCACTACTGCACTCTATCCAGCCTGGGTGACAGAGCAAGACCTTGTCTCAAAAAAGTAGGCTAGAGACCAGCCTGGGCAACATAGTGAGACTCTATCTATCTACAAAAAATTTTAAAAATTAGCTGGGTATGGTGGTGTATGCCTGTGGTCCTAGCTACTGGGGAGGCAGAGTTAGGGGGATTGCTTGAGCCCAGGAGGGTATAATGAGCTATGATCACATCACTGTAATCCAGCCTGGGCAACAGAGCAAGATGCTGTCTCCATTAAAAATAAAATAAAAGTAGGCTAGGCAGGCCGGGTGCGGTGGCTCACGCCTGTAATCCCAGCACTTTGGGAGGCCAAGGCAGGCAGATCACAAGGTCAGGAGTTCGAGACTAGCCTGGCCAACATGGTGAAACCTCATCTCTACTAAAAAAAAAAATAAATAAATAACAAAAAATTAGCTGGGCGTCGGGGCAGGTGCCTGTAATCCCAGCTACTCAGTGGGCTGAGGCAGGAGAATCGCTTGAACCCAGAAGGCGGAGGTTGCAGTGAGCCGAGATCCCGCCACTGCACTCCAGCCTGGGTGACAGAGTGAGACTCTGTCTCCAAAAAAAAAAAAAAAAAAAGCAGGCTAGGCTAAGCTATGATGTTCCTTAGATTAGGTGTATTAAATCCATTTTCAACTTACAATATTTTCAACTTACGACGAGTTTATCAGGAAGTAACACCATCGTAAGTCAAGTAGCATCTGTATCAGGCAAAGTCATAGAACCATTTTCATGCTCTCTTTAACAATTTTCTTTTTGAAAGCTGGTCTGGTCCTTTAAAATATATATTATGGTATAAGTTGGTGTTCTGAAGTTAGTTAGCTACAACCAGGAGCCATTGTCTTTGAGGCATCACTGCCCCCTGATGGCAAATGCCCCAATTGCAGGTAAAACAGTCAAGAAGAAAACGGCATTTTGAGTGTTAGACTGGAAACTTTCCACTTGATAAGAGGTCCCAAGACTTAGTACCTGAAGGGTGAAATATTCTCCATCCAGTGGTTTCTTCTTTGGCTGGGGAGAGGAGCTGGTGTTGTTGGGCAGTGCTAGGAAAGAGGCAAGGAAAGGTGATAAAAGTGAATCTGAGGCATAACTGCACCCTTGGTCTCCTCCACCGCTTCTTGTCCTGCTTGCTTACCTCGCTTAGTGCTCCCTGGGGGCAGCTCGTGGTGAGGCTCCCCTTTCTTGCGGAGATTCTCTTCCTCTGTGCGCCGGTCTCTCCCAGGACAGGCACAAACACGCACCTCAAAGCTGTTCCGTCCCAGTAGATTACCACTACTCAGGATAGGAAAAGAGAAGCAAGAGGCAGTAAGGAAATCAGGTCCTACCTGTCCCATTTAAAAAACCAGGCTCCATCTACTCCCAACCACCCTTGTCCTTTCTGGAGCCTAAGCTCCAGCTCCAGGTAGGTGGAGGAGAAGCCACAGGTTAAGAGGTCCCAAAGCCAGAGAAAAGAAAACTGAGTGGGAGCAGTAAGGAGATTCCCCGCCGGGGATGTGATGAGAGGTGGATGGGTAGTAGTATGGAAGAAATCGGTAAGAGGTGGGCCCAGGGGTCAGAGGCAAGCAGAGGCTGGGGCACAGCAGGCCAGTGTGCAGGGTGGCAAGTGGCTCCTGACCTGGAGTCTTCCAGTGTGATGATGGTGAGGATGGGCCTCCGGTTCATGCCGCCCATGCAGGAACTGTTACACATGTAGTTGTAGTGGATGGTGGTACAGTCAGAGCCAACCTAGGAGATAACACAGGCCCAAGATGAGGCCAGTGCGCCTTGGGGAGACCTGTGGCAAGCAGGGGAGGCCTTTTTTTTTTTTTTTTGAGATGGAATCTCGCTCTGTCGCCCAGGCTGGAGTGCAGTGGCGTGATCTCAGCTCACTGCAAGCTCCACCGCCCAGGTTCACGCCATTCTCCTTCCTCAGCCTCCCGAGTAGCTGGGACTACAGGTGCCCAGCACCACGCCCGGCTAATTTTTTTTTGTATTTTTCAGTAGAGACGGGGTTTCACCGTTAGCCAGGATGGTCTCGATCTCCCAACCTCGTGATCCGCCTGCCTTGGCCTCCCAAAGTGCTGGGATTACAGGCATGAGCCACTGCGCCCAGCCAAGCAGGGGAGGCCCTTAGCCTCTGTAAGCTTCAGTTTTTTCAACTGTGCAATAGTTAAACCCATTTACTTTGCACATCTCATGGGGTTATAGGGAGGTCAAATAAGCAGCAGGAGAAAGCCCCCCTACTGCTCACCTGGAGGGCCACTGACAACCACCCTTAACCCCTCCTCCCAGAGACCCCAGTTGCAAACCAGACCTCAGGCGGCTCATAGGGCACCACCACACTATGTCGAAAAGTGTTTCTGTCATCCAAATACTCCACACGCAAATTTCCTTCCACTCGGATAAGATGCTGAGGAGGGGCCAGACCTAAGAGCAATCAGTGAGGAATCAGAGGCCTGGGGACCCTGGGCAACCAGCCCTGTCGTCTCTCCAGCCCCAGCTGCTCACCATCGCTATCTGAGCAGCGCTCATGGTGGGGGCAGCGCCTCACAACCTCCGTCATGTGCTGTGACTGCTTGTAGATGGCCATGGCGCGGACGCGGGTGCCGGGCGGGGGTGTGGAATCAACCCACAGCTGCACAGGGCAGGTCTTGGCCAGTTGGCAAAACATCTTGTTGAGGGCAGGGGAGTACTGTAGGAAGAGGAAGGAGACAGAGTTGAAAGTCAGGGCACAAGTGAACAGATAAAGCAACTGGAAGACGGCAGCAAAGAAACAAACATGCGTAAGCACCTCCTGCAACCCACTAGCGAGCTAGAGAGAGTTGGCGTCTACACCTCAGGAGCTTTTCTTTTTTTTTTTTTTTTTTGAGATAGGGTCTTGCTCTGTCACTCAGGCTGGAGCACAGTGGTGTGATCACAGCTCACTGCAGCCTCCATCTCCTGGCCTCAAGTGATCTTCCCACCTCAGCCTCCTAAGTGGCTGGGACTATAGGTGTGCACCACCATGCCTGGCTAATTTTTTGTATTTTTTTGTAGAGACGAGGTTTCATCATGTTACCCAGGCTGGTCTTGAACTCCTGGGCTCAGGTGATCTGCCTGCCTTGGCCTCTTTGAGAGTGCTGGGATTGCAGGTGTGAGCCACCAAGCCTGGTCAGGAGCTTATTTTCAAAAGCCAAGGAATACACGTGGATGAAGAAAAAGAAAAGTTCTGCATCCCCAGGAGAGATGCTGAGGGTGTGATGGGATGGATAAAAGCCCAAATTCAAGGGGGGAATATTCAACTTTGGGACAGGAGTCAGAGATCACACATTAAGTGGGTAAACTATAAAAAAACACTGACAGGAAGCCAAAGGGTGAAGAGGAATCCCAAAGTTCCAAACAAAAGAAATGCAGGGGGATACGGCCAGGCATTGAAGTCTCATGGAAGCCAGCCCCTCAGGGCAACTGACCGTGCAAGTCACAGACTTGGCTGTCCCAGAATGCAAGAAGCCCAGACGGAAACCGTAGCTGCCCTGGTAGGTTTTCTGGGAAGGGACAGAAGATGACAGGGGCCAGGAGGGGGCTGGTGCAGGGGCCGCCGGTGTAGGAGCTGCTGGTGCAGGGGCCACGGGGGGAGCAGCCTCTGGCATTCTGGGAGCTTCATCTGGACCTGGGTCTTCAGTGAACCATTGTTCAATATCGTCCGGGGACAGCATCAAATCATCCATTGCTTGGGACGGCAAGGGGGACTGTAGATGGGTGAAAAGAGCAGTCAGAGGACCAGGTCCTCAGCCCCCCAGCCCCCCAGCCCTCCAGGTCCCCAGCCCTCCAGGTCCCCAGCCCAACCCTTGTCCTTACCAGAACGTTGTTTTCAGGAAGTCTGAAAGACAAGAGCAGAAAGTCAGTCCCATGGAATTTTCGCTTCCCACAGGTCTCTGCTAGGGGGCTGGGGTTGGGGTGGGGGTGGTGGGCCTGCCCTTCCAATGGATCCACTCACAGTTTCCATAGGTCTGAAAATGTTTCCTGACTCAGAGGGGGCTCGACGCTAGGATCTGACTGCGGCTCCTCCATGGCAGTGACCCGGAAGGCAGTCTGGCTGCTGCAAGAGGAAAAGTGGGGATCCAGCATGAGACACTTCCAACCCTGGGTCACCTGGGCCTGCAGAGAAGGAACCCCCTCCCCCAACACCATGCCAGTGTCTGAGACAGCTCGGCTTCCTGTGGAGCAGGAAAAGAATGGCTGCTTCACATTCTCTCTTCCAATGTTTCACCACAACCCAAGCACTCCTGCCCCACCCCTCACCAGCCATGCACTTCTTTGAGGAAAAGACAATCAGAGAGGGACTTCCAACCTTCCCACCACTAAATCCCCAAGACTTCCTAAATGTGCACCCTATTCCCAACTCCCTTCCTGTATTTTTTTTTTTTTTTTGAGATGGAGTCTCTCTCTGTCACCTAGGCTGGAGCACAGTGGCATGATCTCAGCTCACTGCAACCTCTACCTTCCGGGTTCAAGCCATTCTCCTGCCTCAGTCTCCCGAGTAGCTGGGATTACAGGCGAGTACCACCACACCCAGCTAATTTTTGTATTTTTAGTAGAGACAGGGCTTTGCATGTTGGCCAGGCTGGTCTCGAACTCCTTACTTCAGGTGATCGGCCCGCCTCAGCCTCCTAAAGTGCCAAGATTACAGGTGTGAGCTACCGTGCCCTGCTCCCACCTCCTGTTAACAAGGATATAGTCATTCTCAGCCTGCAATCTCTGTATGGGGAAGGACACCCCCTTGGCCCCCACCCTTCCCCACCTGATACACGGCTCCATTTCTTTGATTCCTTTCACTGCAAAGCTTCTGGAAGAACAACTGTCTCACCGCTCACCTGCCCATTCTCTTCGGACACTCCTCAGCCCTGCATTACAAACCCCTCACGAATGGCCCGTCTCGGCTTCTTTAATCTCATCTCTTAACAACCACTCCCTCTTCCCCAAAAGCTCTAGCTAGACTGGCTGCCCTTCTCTGCTAATCAACTGGTGGTTCCTTGGCTAGCCAGGAACATGGGGGTAGGCTCCTTCCCGTGCAGACTTTAAGTCATCCTATTTTAATTCACATCACCTCATTTGCATTCTCATAGCACTTACATTGTCTGATACTTTTCCTTGTTTATTTTATCTGTTTCCTCTAATAGCATATACACTTCCTAAGGGCAGGGCAGTGATCTATCTTGTTGTCTTGCTGACCAAAGTATTAGATCACAATGCCTTGCACCTGCTTGGGCTCAATAAATGTGAATAACACACAAGCCTGTTATATGAGAGGTTAAGAGAGCGAGAAAGAGCAAGGGGCAGCCCCTGTGTGGACCAGCATCTTGCACGAAGTTATGCAACTATCATCGCACCTTCTCCCAGACAAGCTTTCAAAGGCTTTGCCATGTTTTCTTTTGTTTTGTTTTTTTGTTTGTTTTTTGAGATGGAGTTTGGCTCTTTTCGCCCAGGCTGGAGTGCAGTGGTGCAGTCTAGGCTCACTGCAACCTCTGCCTTCTGGTTTCAAGCAATTCTCCTGCCTCAGCCTCCCGAGTAGCTGGGATTACAGGCCCCTGCCACCATGCCTGGCTGATTTTTTGTATTTTTAGTAGAGACAGGGTTTCACCATGTTGGCCAGGCTGGTGTGGAACTCCTGACCTTGTGATCCACCTGCCTCGGCCTCTCAAAGCGCTGGGATTACAGGTGTGAGCCACTGTGCCTGGCCCGCCATGTTCTTTCTTTCTTTCTTTTTTCTTTTGAGGCAGGGTCTTGCTTTGTTGCCCAAGCTAGGGTACAGTGGTGCAATCATGGCTCACTACAGCCTCGGACTCCTGGGCTCAGTGATTCTCCTGCCTCAGCCTCCCAAGTAGCTGGGACCACAGAGGCCTGCCTGGCTAATTTTTTAGTCTTTTTCTTTTTCTTTTTTTTTTTGGAGACGGAGTCTCGCCCTGTCACCCAGGCTAGAGTGCAGTGGTGTGATCTCGACTCACTGTAACCTCCACCTCCCAGATTCAAGCGATCCTCTTGCCTCAACTTCCTGAGTAGCTGGGATTACAGGCGCCCACCAATGCGCCTGATTAATTTTTTGTATTTTTAGTAGAGATGGGGTTTTGCCATGTTGGCCAGGCTGGTTTCGAACTCCTGACCTCAGGTGATCCTCCCGCCTCCGACTCCCAAAGTGCTGGGATTACAGGTGTGAGCCACTGCACCCGGCCAATTTTTGAGTTTTTTTGTAGAGGCAGGGTTTCACTATGTTGCCCAGGCAGGATGCTCTCTTTCTTTTTCTTTTTTTTTTTTTCAGGGATGCTCTCTTTCTTTATGCCAAATTTGTCATCAGATTTGCTAAGAAACATGCCTACTGTAAGTGTTTGTTACACTTTTCTGTTTTTTTTTTTTTTTGAGACAGAGTTTTGCTCTCGTCCAGGCTGGAGTGCAATGGTGCGATCTCGGCTCACCGCAACCTCTGCCTCCCAGGTTCAAGCGATTCTCCTGCCTCAGCCTCCCGAGTAGCTGGGATTACAGGCATGCGCCACTGCGCCCGGCTAATTTTGTATTTTTAGTAGAGACGGGGTTTCTCCATATTGGTCAGGCTGGTCTTGAACTCCCAACTTCAGGTGATCCGCCCGCCTTGGCCTCCCAAAGTGCTGGGATTACAGGCATGAACCACTGTGCCCAGCCCACTTTTCTGTTGTTTGCACTGACAAAACATCCCCTACCAAACAGCTCCTTTAATGGCAGGCTCTTTTCTTTTTTTATTTTATTTTATTTTATTTTATTTTATTTTATTTTATTTTGAGACGGAGTCTCAGCTCTTATTGCCCAGGCTGGAGTACAGTGGCACTATCTCCGCTTACTGCAACCTCCTCCCGGATTCAAATGATTCTCCTGCCTCAGCCTGCTGAGTAGCTAGGACTACAAGCATGTGCCACCACACCTGGCTAATTTTGTACTTCTAGTAGAGACGGGGTTTCACCATGTTGGTCAGGCTGGTCTTGAACTCCCGACCTCAGGTGATCCACCCCCCTTGGCCTCCTAAAGTGCTGGGATTACAGGCGTGAGCCACCAAGCCTGGCCTACCTAGTACTCTGTGTATTATGGGAAATGTAGAGTTGAGGAAAGTGCTGGGCACACAGTAAGAGCTCAACAAAGGTTAGCTCTTTCTGCAATTGTTCTATTTCACTTGTTCTATATTATTATTCTAGAGAGAACTGTGTGATTGTTAGTGCGGATCTGTGGTACTGCTCCCACCCCCACTCCATTAATGCAAGTACACCTCCTTCAGGGATCTATTCAGTCAACAGGCCAGGAGGTGCTGTCCTGAAATGGGGGGCCCAAAGTCTCAATCCCACTTGGAGGGACACAGGTCTACAGACAGGTCTCCCTGTCTTTATCTCTCAAATCTTCAGTAGCAACTAAAATCTCCGTGTTTTTCAGAGCAGGACCTTCCCAGGGGTACCAGCATCAGTGGGCCAGGATACAAATGTGCCAGGCTGAACTAGGCCTTCCAAATGGCCAGGGAGCCAAGAGAAATGCAGGTGCCCTTGGCTGGGTGGGAAGGCAATGAGATCAACTGAGACCCCAAACAGGGGCAGGCCTGACCAGAATCTTAACAGTGGCTGCTGGTATCAGTCTTGAAGGCCTATATGTCCAGTGATTCCCTAAACAATATAGTACAAGTACTTACATACATACTTGCATGTACATTAGCATTTTCATTGTATGGGGGTAATGTAAGTAATCTAGAGATAATTTAAACTATATGGGAGGATATGTGTAGGTTAAATCCAAATACTATACCGTCTTATATATGGGACTTAGACATCTGTGGGTTTGGTGTGTGAGGAGTCCCAGAACCAAGCCCCTACAGATAGAGGGATAACTATATTGCCCTGTAACCTGCAACCCTGCTATATTTATTTATTAGTTTTGGTAGCTTTTTATGGATTTTCCATTAGGACTTTTTTTTTTTTTTGAGATAGAGTTTCACTCTTTTTTTTTTTTTTTGAGACGGAATCTCGCTCTGTTGCCCGGCGTGGTGTGCAATGGCATGATCTCAGCTCACTGCAACCTCCACCTCCTGGGTTCAAGCAATTCTTCTGTCTCAGCCTCCCAAGTAGCTGGGATTACAGGCGCCCACCACTACACCCAGCTAATTCTTGTATTTTTAGTAGAGACGGGGTTTCACCATGTTAGGTTGGTCTCAAACTCCTGACCTCAGGTGATCGGCCTGCCTCAGCCTCCCGAAGTGCTGGGATTACAGGCGTAAGCCACCACACCCTGCCGGAGTTTCACTCTTGTTGCCCAGGCTGGAGTGCAATAGCGCGATCTCGGCTCACTGCAACCTCTGCCTCCCAGGTCCAAGCAATTCTCCTGCCTCAGCCTCCTGAGTAGCTGGGATTAGAGGTGCCCGTCACCACGCCTGGCTGATTTTTTGTATTTTTATTAGAGTTGGGGTTTCACCATGTTGGCCAGGCTGGTCCCAGGGAAGCCACCTGCCTCAGCCTCCTAAAAGTGCTAGGATTACAGGCATGAGCCACCACGCCTGGCCCCATTAGGACATGTATGTATAGAATCATACTGGCTGTGAATGTGTTTTATTTCTTCCTTTCTAATCGTTATTTTTTTTCTTTCCTTTTTTTTTTTTTTTTTTGACATGGAATTTTGCTCTTGTCGCCTAGGCTGGAGTGCAATGGGACAATCTCGGCTCACTGCAACCTCTGCCTCCTGGGTTCAAGTGATTCTCCTGCCTCTGCCTCCTGAGTAGCTGGGACTACAGGCGTTCACCACTACCCCTGGCTAATTCTTTTTTTTTTGAGACGGAGTTTTTGCTTTTGTCACCCAGGCTGGAGTGCAATGGTGCAATCTCGGCTCACTACAACCTCCGCCTCCCAGGTTCAAGCGATTCTCCTGCCTAAGCCTCCCAAGTAGCTGGGATTACAGGCGCCCGCCACTACGCCCGGCTAATTTTTGTATTTTTAGTAGAGATGGGGTTTCACCATGTTGGCCAGGCTGGTGTTGAACTCCTGACCTCAGGTGATCCACCCACCTCGGCCTCCCAAAGTGCTGGGATTACAGGCATGAGCCACTGTACCCGGCCAACGCCTGGCTATTTTTTTAATATTTTAATAGAGACGAGGTTTCACCATCTTTGTCAGGCTGGTCTCCAACTCCAGACCTCAGGTGATCTGCCCACCTCGGCCTCCCAAAGTGCTGGGATTATAGGCGTGAGACATCGGGCCACTAATCATTATTTCTTTTTCTTTTTTTTTTTTTGAGACACAGTCTTGCTCTGTCGCCCAGGCTGGAGTGCAGTGGCTCGATCTCAGCTCACTGCAAGCTCCGCCCCCTGAGTTCACGCCATTCTCCTGCCTCAGCCTCCCGAGTAGCTGGGACTACAGGCGCCCGCCACTACGCCCGGCTAATTTTTTGTATATTTAGTAGAGACAGGGTTTCACCGTGTTAGCCAGGATGGTCTCGATCTCCTGACCTCGTGATCCACCCGTCTCGGCTTCCCAAAGTGCTGGGATTACAGGCCTGAGCCACCGCACCCGGCCCTCATTATTTCTTTTTCTTGCCTGGTTAAAACCTCCAGTATGGTATCAACGTTGTGAGAGTCAAATCCTTTTCTAGTTCCTGATCTTAGAGGAAAAAGCGTTGAGTTTTCTTTTCTTTTTTTTTTTTTTTTTTTTTTGAGACGAAGTCTCACTCTGTCACCCAGGCTGGAGTGCAGTGGCACGATCTAGGCTCTGCAAGCTCCGCCTCCCGGGTTCACGCCATTCTCTCGCCTCAGCCTCCCGAGTAGCTGGGACTATAGGCGCCCGCCACCATGCCCGGCTAATTTTTTGTTTTTGTATTTTTAGTAGAGACGGGGTTTCAGCATGCTAGTCAGGACAGTCTCGATCTCCTGACCTCGTGATCCGCCCGCCTAGGCCTCCCAAAGTGCTGGCATTACAGGCGTGAGCCACCGCGCCCGGCAGCACTGAGTTTTCTACCATTATGTATGCTGCTAGTGGAACTCCGACTGTGGACGCCCTGTTATCAAACTAGGTTAAGTTTCCTTTCCCTAGTTTGCTAGGAGGTTGGTTGGTTTGTAATCATGCATATGTGTTGAATATCATTAACTGCTTTTGCTACATCTGTTGAAATGATCATAGGGTTTTTATGTTTCCCTTTGTTAATGTGGTGAATTACACAGACTGATTTTTTTCCCCCCAGTAAAGACCAGTCTGACTATGTTGCCCAGGCTGGTCTTGAAATCCTGGGCTCAAGAGATCTTCCTGCCTCAGCCTCCTAAAATGTTGGGATTACAGGCCTGAGCTACTGCACCAGGCCAATTTTTGAATGTTGAATCAGCTACAATCATGAGATAAACATTATTTGGTTAGAATGTATTTATCCTTTTTCTTTTTCTTTTTTTGAGATGGAGTCTCACTCTGTTGCCCAGGCTGGAGTGCAATGGTGTGATCCCAGCTCAGTGCAACTTCTGCCTCCTGGGTTCAAGCGATTCTCCTGCCTCAGACTCCCGAGTAGCTGGGATTTCAGGTGCCCACCACCATGCCCAGCTAATTTTTTTTTTTTTTTGAGATGAAGTCTTGCTCTGTCGCCCAGGCTGGAGTGCAGTGGCACGATCTTGGCTCACTGCAACCTCTGCCTCCCGGGTTCAAGCAATTCTGCCTCAGCCTCCTGAGTAGCTGGGATTACAGGCAGGTGCCACCACACCGGCTGATTTTTGTATTTTTAGTAGAGATGGCGTTTCACCACATTGGTCAGGCTGGTCTTGAACTCCTGACCTCGTGATCTGCCCACCTCGGCCTCCCAAAGTGCTGGGATTACAGGCGTGAGCCACCGTGCCCAGCCTGATTTTTGTATTTTTATTAGAAACGGGGTTTCACCATGTTGGTCAGGCTGGTCTCAAACTCCTGACCTCAAGTGATCTGCCTGCCTCAGCCTCCCAAAGTGCTGGGATTACAGGCGTGAGCCACCGCGACTGGCCTATTTATCCTTTTTTCTATATTACCAGGTTTGGTTTGCTAAAATTGGTTAGCTGTTGCATGTCTATGCTAACAGGAATATTGGTCTATATTTTCTTTTCTTATAATGTCCTTGTTTGGTTTTGGTACCAGGATTATGCTGGCTTCGAAAACAAGTTGGGAAATATTCCTCTATTTTTTCTTTCTTTCTTTTTTTTTCTGAGACAGGGTCTCACTCTGTTGCCCAGGCTGGAGTGCAGTGGCGCAATCTCGGCTCACTGCAACCTCCGCTTCCCAGGTTCAAGGGATTCTTGTGCCTCAGCCTCCTGAGTAACTGGCATTACAGGTATGTGTCACCACGCCTAGCTACTTTTTGTATTTTTAGTAGAGATGGGGTTTCGCCGTGTTGGCCAGGCTGGTCTCGAACTCCCGACCTCAAATGATCCCCTGCCTCAGCGTACCAAAGTGCTGAGATTACAGGTATGAGCCACCGCGCCCAGTCTGTTCCTCTGTTTTCTGAAGAGTTTGTGTAAGATGGGTACTGTTTCTTCCTCCAACGTTTAAAGAGAGCAGAGAACAGAGGAGATAAATAGAAAATAGCACTAAGAGGTCAGGCATGGTGGCTCACACCTGTAATCCCAGCACTTTGGGAGGCCGAGATGGGATGAAAGCTTGAGGCCAGCAGTTTGAGACCAGCCTGGGCAACATAGTGAGATCCTGTCAATACAAAAAAATAAAATAGTTAGCTGGGTGTGGTGGAGTAATCCCAGCTACTCGTGAGGCTGCTAGAGGACTGCTTGAGCCCAGGGGTTCGAGGCTGCAGTAAGCCTTGATTGTGCCATTGTACTCTAGCCTGGGCAACAGTGTGAGTCCCTGTCTCAAAAATTAACAAAGAAAAAAAGAAAATAGCACTAAAATGGTAGCCCTATACTCCAACTGTAAAATAATTAAAATTAAAAGCATTCAGTAGAGAAAGGAAGCCTATTTCAACAAGTGGAGACAGAATAACTGGATTTCCATACAGGAAAGATACCAGAGACTGACTCCTACACCTCACACCATAAACAATTAATTTTAAGAATTAATTAATGGCTCAAGGACCTTACTGTAAAACTTACAACCATAAAGGTCCTAAAAGAAAATGTAAGATAATATCTTCATGACCCTGGGGTTAAAAAAAAAAAAAAAGATGTCCTAAACAGGACAAGGCAAATACTGAACATAAAAAAGATAAATCCACTCCTCTTAAGATACTGTAAACTCTGTAAAGCAAACAAATAGGCAAGCAACAGATCAGAAGAAAACATTCACGACACATGGATCTGATAAAGGACTTGTATCCAGAATGTATAAAGCAGTCCCACAACTGAACAATAAAAACAAACAAAAAACCAAAATAACAGGTAAAAGACTCGAAGAGCTACTTTACAAACAAAATACGAATGGCCAATAGGCACATGAAAAAATGCTGAACATCCTTAGTCAATAGAGAACTGTAAATTACAACCACAAGGATATACCACATTAGAAAGACTGACAATACCTAATGTCCGGAAGGCTGTGGCACAACCATAATAACTCCCATACCTTGCTAGTTGGAGTGTAAAATGGTACAACCGCTCTGGAAAACTCAGAGCTTCTGAAAAAGTTCAAAATACAGCTACTTTTTACTTCCAAACTCGCAATTCCCCTCCTAAGTATTTCTCCAAGAAACACGAAAACATATGATCACAAAAAGAATTGTACAAGAATGTTTATAGCAGCTTTATTTCATAACCGCAAATGGGAAACAACTCAAAAGGCCATCAAAAGGACGGATATACAATCGATGGACTATACTAAATGAAAAGGAGCAAAATACTGATATATACAACATGAACGAATGTCAGACAGTACATTGAAGGACAGAAGCCCGACAAAAATGAGCACATAATGTATGATTCCCCCCTTTTTTTTGAGACGGAGTTTCGTTCTTGTCGCCCAGGCTGGAGTGTAGTGGCACGATCTTGGCTCACTGCAACCTCTGCCTCCCGGGTTCAAGCGATTCTCCTGCCTCACCCTCCCGAATAGCTGGGATTACAGGCACCCACCACGCCCAGCTAATTTTTGTATTTTTTAGTAGAGACGGGGATTCACCACGTTGGCCACGCTGGTCTGGAACTCCTATCCTCAAGTAATCCGCCCGCCTCGGCCTCCCAAAGTGCAGGCGTGAGCCACAGCGCCCAGCCTGATTCCATTCTATATGAAGTTCTCCAACAGGCAAAATGGTTATGGAGATCAAAATAAAGGTGGGGTCGGGAATCGACTGGGAAGAGACGTGATGAAACGTTTCTGGGACGATGAAAAGGGTCTGTGACTTGGTAGGCATCACGGAGCGGTTAGGGGCCAAAACTCATCTTCCTGTGCACTTGCTGTGTGCACTGGCGCTGTGTGTAAATGCCACCTCGATTTAGGAAAAAGATGACGTAAGTACGGCACAAAGTGGCCGGTACGCGGCAGGTGCATGGGAAGAAACTGCGGAATGAAACAACCGCGAGCTAAGAGATGGGGCAGCGGGAGAAATGAATTCGAGTTCCGCCTCCTACCAGGAAGAACCGGCTCGGGCCGGAGGGCTGCACGGAGGACCACACGGACGCCTGCGGGCCCGCCCCTTCCGCTTCACGACGTTCAGCCTGCGTCTGGAACTGGAATGGCCTAGCCCAAAGCTAGATAACAGGTAGATTGTTTTTCCGACAAATTATCAAACGACCCATCATTGCACTCTTTCAAAATTTGATTCTCAGACGTACCCATTCTTTTTTTTTTTCCTCCGGGAAGATGAGATATACTCATTCTTGAAAATACCTCCGGGCTTGCCTTCTGCACACTTCTTTCCCTCCCTGTCTCACGCCATGGTAGCGTCCGCCTAGGTTGCAGGCGACCCGCGGGGTGGGGCACACCATTCAAAGAAGGGGAGGGATTGAGGTTTGCATCAAAACAAATACCCCTGCCTTTGCAAAGGCCATAACTAAGTAATCCAGAAAAAGAAATGCAGGCGGAGAATAGCAGCCTCCCTCTGCCAAGTAAGAGGAACCGGCCTAAAGGACATTTTCTCTCTCTCTCCTCCCCTCTCATCGGGTGAATAGTGAGCTGCTCCGGCAAAAAGAAACCGGAAATGCTGCTGCAAGAGGCAGAAATGTAAATGTGGAGCCAAACAATAACAGGGCTGCCGGGCCTCTCAGATTGCGACGGTCCTCCTCGGCCTGGCGGGCAAACCCCTGGTTTAGCACTTCTCACTTCCACGACTGACAGCCTTCAATTGGATTTTCTCCATCTAGCGGAGCCGGGGGCTGCCTGGAAAGATCGCTCCAGGAAGGACAAAGGTCCGGAAGTTGTGGGACCTTAGCAGCTTGGGCTCCCCGGATCACCCCCAAATGATCATTTCGGAATGGAGCCCCAGTTTTCACTAGGATGCCATGGGCTCTAAAATATACAGCTATGAGTTCTCAATGTTTCGAGATCCAAAAGTCTCAGACCTCAATGCTTTGTGCATCTTTTATTTCAGGGATTCCCTACGCCCAGCACCGGGTGGATGTGCAAAGAAGTACGCTTTAGGCCGGCTCAAGGTTCCCCAAAGCTCCACTCCTCTGCCTAGGCGTTCAACTTTGAGTTCGGATGGTCCTAACATCCCCATCATCTACACCCAGGTCTCCCAACAATGCAACTCCTATGATGATCCCTCTAGCCAAGCTTCCATCCCACTCACCCCCAAACTCGCTAAGTCCCCACTGCCCCACCCCCAGCCCCAGCGATTTTCCCGAGCTGAAAATACACGGAGCCGAGAGCCCGTGACTCAGAGAGGACTCATCAAGTTCAGTCAGGAGCTTACCCAATCCAGGGAAGCGTGTCACCGTCGTGGAAAGCACGCTCCCAGCCCGAACGCAAAGTGTCCCCGGAGCCCAGCAGCTACCTGCTCCCTGGACGGTGGCTCTAGACTTTTGAGAAGCTCAAAACTTTTAGCGCCAGTCTTGAGCACATGGGAGGGGAAAACCCCAATCCCATCAACCCCTGCGAGGCTCCTGGCACAAAGCTGGACAGTCGCCATGACAAGTAAGGGCAAGTAATCCGCCTGCCGGAGGAAGCAAAGGAAATGGAGTTGGGGAGGAGGGTGCAGAGTCAGGATTCTCGCCGACCTGGTGCCGTAGATACTAACATTTTGGGGTGGAAAATTCTGCAAGCCAGAGCTGTGAGGGCAGAATTGGTGGAAATCATTTTGGAGGAATCCTGCATTGTGTCAAATATGAAGGGTGGAAGGAAGAAAGCTTTTGCGTTTGCTCTCAGCTGGATCCTTTCTTCTCATCAGTTAAAATGTCATTTTTTAGGAAGGCTTTCCGTAATATCACACCCTAACGTTTTCTCCCAGATACTTTATATCACACCATCTTATTTAATCTCCTTCACAACCCTTATCACTCTGATAAGATTTATTTGTTCATTGCTTTCAGTACATGGAAACGTAAGCCTTATGAGGATATAGAATTTTTCTACTATCTTATTCATTGTTGTATTCCTGAGTGCCTATATCAGTGCTGGGTAGCAAGTAAGAGCTCGATAATAAATATTTTTTGAATGAGGGAGACAGGTCTGAAGCCTGGAGAATGAGATGCAGAAGAGGTGCAAGACCTGCTGCGCCCTCTGCAGGCGGCGGGGGGGCGGTGCAGGTGCTTTAAGAATTACCGCGGGACTCGGTAGGGGGAGCGTAGGCGCTTCTCGCCAAGATAGAAGCGTTCAGACTACAACTCCCAGCAGCCACGAGGAGCCCTAGGGCTTGATGGGAACGGGAAACCTTCTAACCTTTCACGTCCCGGCTCCGCGGGTTCCGTGGGTCGCCCGCGAAATCTGATCCGGGATGCGGCGGCCCAATCGGAAGGTGGACCGAAATCCCGCGACAGCAAGAGGCCCGTAGCGACCCGCGGTGCTAAGGAACACAGTGCTTTCAAAAGAATTGGCGTCCGCTGTTCGCCTCTCCTCCCGGGAGTCTTCTGCCTACTCCCAGAAGAGGAGGGAAGCACAGGTGGGTTTCTTTAGCTCTGCGTCGGATCCCTGAGAACTTCGAAGCCATCCTGGCTGAGGCTAATCTCCGCTGTGCTTCCTCTGCAGTATGAAGACTTTGGAGACTCAACCGTTAGCTCCGGACTGCTGTCCTTCAGACCAGGACCCAGCTCCAGCCCATCCTTCTCCCCACGCTTCCCCGATGAATAAAAATGCGGACTCTGAACTGATGCCACCGCCTCCCGAAAGGGGGGATCCGCCCCGGTTGTCCCCAGATCCTGTGGCTGGCTCAGCTGTGTCCCAGGAGCTACGGGAGGGGGACCCAGTTTCTCTCTCCACTCCCCTGGAAACAGAGTTTGGTTCCCCTAGTGAGTTGAGTCCTCGAATCGAGGAGCAAGAACTTTCTGAAAATACAAGCCTTCCTGCAGAAGAAGCAAACGGGAGCCTTTCTGAAGAAGAAGCGAACGGGCCAGAGTTGGGGTCTGGAAAAGCCATGGAAGATACCTCTGGGGAACCCGCTGCAGAGGACGAGGGAGACACGTAAGTGGTGATGGCAGTGGAGTGTGGAGTCTGGGGAGATGAAGTGTGAGGTCGATCTGTCCTCTGGTCCTGAGACCCACTTCTCCAGGCCTCTGCCCCCTTTGCTTGGCGACCCAGGTTTATTGTCCCCCATCTTCCTTTCAGCGCTTGGAACTACAGCTTCTCCCAGCTGCCTCGATTTCTCAGTGGTTCCTGGTCAGAGTTCAGCACCCAACCTGAGAACTTCTTGAAAGGCTGTAAGTGGTAAGGATAACAACGGGGCAGGGAGCTGACCACCCCCGAGATTTTCACTGTAAAACAGTCCAGTTTTCTAGGAGAGGGATGCCCCAGAGCTGGGAGAAGCGGCACGTAGCCCTTTTAGACTGAGCTTACATTTTATCTAGCAGTTTGTGTCTTCTACTTCCCTCAAGGATTCAGGGGGGCTTACCTACCCCAGAGGCAGGCTCAGCCCTAGCCCTACACTTGAAAAGCATAGGTCTGGCCAGCTTTCTAACTCTCCCCTGTTTCTAGGGCTCCTGACGGTTCCTGCATCTTGACCAATAGTGCTGATAACATCTTGCGAATTTATAACCTGCCCCCAGAGCTGTACCATGAGGGGGAGCAGGTGGAATATGCAGAAATGGTAAGGACTGGGGCTAACTGCCTCTTCATCAATGCTGCACATTTAAGTCCTTCGTGGAGATGGAAAAAGTGTAGTCCAAGTGTTTCCTGTTCACAAACGGGACTGTTTTTCAAGACGAGTTTCCACATGTAGCGTTTTCTGCCCCGAATTCTGAAGTTATTTAGAGAGAGGTTTCCCCTTTCTTTAATTAGGAATCTGTGTTTTTTGCTAAAAAGTAGTGAATTTCTTGTGGCAGCATATATATATTTCTATTTCTTATTTTTTTGAGACAAGGTCTTGCTCTGTCACCCAGGCTGGAGTGCTGTGGTGTGATCTCGGCTCACTGCAACCTCTGCCTCCCGGGTTCAAGCGATTCTCCTGCCTCAGCCTCACAAGTAGCTGGTATTACAGGCGCACGCCATCACACTCGACTAATTTTTATAGTTTTAGTAGAGACGGGGTTTCGCCATGTTGGGCAGGCTGATATCAAATTCCTGACCTCAGAGGATCCGCCCACCTTGGCCTCCCAAAGTGCGGGGATCACAGGTGTGAGTCACCGTGCCTGGCTTATAGCTATTTATTGATTGACTACTGATATATGTTAGTCACTGTGCTGGGATAAAGTGGTGGACAAGACAGATGAAGGGCTGGTTTGCTTTCTGTGTGGGAGACAGACAACAAACATGTAAACCAGCAAGCATCAGGACCAAGATGATGATAAATGCTCTGAAGGAAATACACAGAATGAAGAGAGACTAACTAGAGGAAAGCACATTGCATAAAATGGTCAGGAAGGAGCTCTCTGAAAAGGAGGCATTTGAGCTAAGACCTGAAGGAGGATAAGGGATCAGTCATGTGAAGGCTTCTGGAAAGAGCTTTCCAGGAACTGGCAATGATACTATAAACACCCAGAACTGGGAAATAGCTTTGTGCGTTAAAAGACCAGAAAGGCCCTGCATGGTGGCTCACGCCTGTAATCCCAGCTACTCAGGAGGCCGAGGTGTGCAGATCACTTGAGGCCAGGAGTTCGAGACCAGCCTGGCCAATATGGCAAAACCCCATCGCTACTAAAAATACCAAAATTAGACGCATGTGGTGGCACGCGCCTGTAATCCCAGCTACTTGTGTGGCTGAGGCAGGAGAATCTCTTAAACTCAGGAGGTGGAGGCTGCAGTCAGACAAAATTGTACCACTGCACTCCAGCCTGGGCGACAGAGTGAGACTCCATCTCAAAAAACAACAAAACAGACTGGGCTCAGTGGCTCACACCTGTAATCCCAGCACTTTGGGAGGCTGAGGTGGGCAGATCACCTGAGGTCAAGAGTTTGAGACCAGCCTGGCCAACATGGCAAAACCTCATCTCTACAAAAATACAAAAATTAGCTGGGTGTGATGGTGGGTGCCTGTAATCCCAGCTACTTGAGAGGCTGAAGCAGAAGAATCATTTGAACCCAGGAGATGGAGGTTGCAGTGAGCCAAGATCATGTCACTGCACTCCAGCCTGGGTGACAGAGTGAGACTCCATCCCAAAACAAACAAACAAACAAACAAACAAACAAACAAACACAAAACAAAAAACCCAGAATGCTGGTATAGCCAGACTGAGGCAAGTGAGGGGGACAGAGGGGTGAGGACAGAGAAGAGCAGCCACGTCGTGTTGGTTCTTATGGGTAAGGCATTTGGAGTTTATTTGGGAAGTCATGAGAGAGGTGTTTTTTTTTTTTTTTTGAGACGAGTCTTGCTCTGTCGCCCAGGCTGGAGTGCAATGGCGTGATCTCGGCTCACTGCAACCTCTGCCTCCTGGATTCAAGCGATTCTCCTGCCTCAGCCTCCCGAGTAGCTGGGATTACAGGCACCCGCCACCATGCCCAGCTAATTTTTGTATTTTTTTAAATAGAGACGGGGTTTTACCATATTGGCCAGGATGGTCTCGTACTCCTGACATTTGATCCGCCGGTCTCGGCCTCCCAAAGTGCTGGGATTATAGGCATGAGCCACCGCGCCTGGCTTAATTTTTGTATTTTTAGTAGAGACAGGTTTTGCCACGTTGGCCTGGCTGGTCTCAAACTCCTGACCTCAGGTGATCCACCTGCCTCAGCCTTCCAAAGTGCTAGGATTACAGGCGTGAGCCACCATGCCAGGCCATGAGAGAGGTTTTTTTTGTTTGTTTGTTTGAGACAGAGTCTTGCTCTGTTGTCCAGGCTGGAGTGCAGTGGCACCATCTCAGCTCACCGCAACCTCCGCCTCCCAGGTTTAAGTGATTCTCCTGCCTCAACCTTCCGAGTAGCTGGGATTACAGGCATGTGCCACCACACCCGGCTAATTTTTTTGTATTTTTTTAGTAGAGATGGGGGGTTCATCATATTGGCCAGGCTGGTCTCGAACTCCTGACCTTGTGATCTGCCCACCTTGGCCTCCCAAAGTGCTGGGATTACAGGCATGAGCCACTGCGCCCGGCCAAGAGAGTTTTAAAACAGAAGAGTGAATGGTTTATGGGTGGGCAAGAGTGAAATCCAGGGCCAGGCACGGTGGCTCACGCCTGTAATCCCAACACTTTGGGAGGCTGAGATGGGTGGATCACCTGAGGTGAAGAGTTTTAGACCAGCCTGGCCAACATGGTAAAACCCTGTCTCTACTCAAATACAAAAATTAGTTGGGGCTGGGTGCGGTGGCTGACTCCTGTAATCCCAGCACTTTGGGAGGCTGAGGCAGGTGGATCACCTGAGGTCAGGAGTTCGAGACCAGCCTGGCCAACATGATGAAACCCCATCTCTATTAAAAATACAAAAAATTAGCTGGGCGTGGTGGCGGGCGCCTGTAATCCCAGCTACTCTGGAGTCTGAGGCAGGAGAATTACTTGAACCAAGGAGATGGAGGTTGCAGTGAGCCAGGATTGCACCACTGCACTCCAGTCCAGGCAACAGTGTAAGACTCCGTCTCAAAAAAAAAAAAAAAAAAAAAAGATTGGCTATAGTTTTCTCCCACCCATCCTAATCAGGTTCTGCCTCCATCGCTTCCTGAAAGTGCTCTTGTCAAGGTCACTAATGTCCTCTTGGGTCATTCTCCTTTTTTTTTTTTTTTTTTTTTTTTGAGACAGAGTCTCGCTCTGTCACCCAGCTGGAGTGCAGTGGCGCCATCTCAGCTCACTGCAAGCTCTGCCTCCCGGGATCACGCCATTCTCCTGCCTCAGCCTCTCCCGAGTAGCTGGGACTACAGGCGCCCGCCACCACGCCTGGCTAATTTTTTGTATTTTTAGTAGAGACGGGGTTTCACCATGGTCTCGATCTCCTGACCTCGTGATCCTCCTGCCTCGGCCTCCCAAAGTGCTGGGATTACAAGCATGAGCCACCGCGCCCAGCCCCTCTTGGGTCATTCTCTAAATTCGCCTCACTGCATCTCTTAGCAGCATGAGTCACTGTCTCCACCTCCCTGCGCTGGAGCACTCAGGCACTCAGGGCTCTGCTGGGCCTTCTCCTCCTCCATCAGCACTCTTTCTTTTTTTTCTTTTTTTTGAGACGGAGTTTCAAAAAATCAGACCCACCAAGGCATGTGGCAGTTGTGTTGCTCTTTGCTCGGTACCCGCTAGAGGTCTGTTGCCATTAATTTGAAATGAGACCAGTTAGTGTGACTGTGCATCTTTCCTGGCAAGTTAAATGACTATAGTTTCTCTGTTTGTAAAATGGGGATGATTATAATAGCACCTGCCTCACAGAGTTGTGAGAATTAAAATAATCAGTAATGAATTAAAGCACTTAAGGCCGGGTGCGGTGGCTCACGCCTATAATCCCAGCACTTTGGGGGGCCGAGGCAGGTGGATCGCCTGAGGTCAGGAATTCAAGACCGACCTGGCCAACATAGTGAAACCCTGTCTTTACTAAAAATACAAAAATTAGCCGGGCTTAGTGGCGGGCGCCTGTAATCCCAGCTACTTGGGAGGTTTGAGGCAGGAGAATTGCTTGAATCCAGGAGGCGAAGGTTGCAGTGAGCTGATCGCACCACTGCACTCCAGCCTGGGCAAGAGAGCAAGACTTAGTCTCAAAAAAAAATAATAAAATTAAAAAAAAGTACTTAAAACAGCACCTAGCATATAGTAAGTGTTCGGTAAACACTAGTAGTCACTGGTATCAGTTGTGTGCAAGCCAAGAATAGGAGGATGGTATGGTTGAGGTTTACCAGGAGAGAAAGACAAGGGTATCCTGAGAGTGTCTTCAAGAGTGTGCATGCCATGGTGGACTAGAATCTACAGTGGGTAAGGAACTGGACTGTAAATAAGTTTTTGATGAAGCTGAATAAATTGTCATGGTAGAAATAGCAGAGCAGGGTCAGGCCTGGTGGCTCACGCCTGTAATCCCGACACTTTGGGAGGCCGAGGCGGGTGGATCACCTAAGGTCAGGAGTTCGAGACCAGCCTGGCCAATATGGTGAAACCCCGTCTCTACTAAAAAAGATACAAAGTTAGCCAGGCATGGTCGTGATTATGATATTAATGATTATAATATTAAAACATTTTAAAAAATATATCTTGCAATACAGATAGTCAATTTGTTTTCTTTTTTTCTTTCTTTTTTTTTTTTTTTTTTTGAGACAGAGTCTCGCTCTGTGGCCCAGGCTGGAGAGCAGTGGTGTGATCTTGCCTCACTGCAACCTCTGTTTCCCGGTTCAAGCGATTCTCCTGCCTCAGCTTCCTGAGTAGCTGGGATTACAGGCACGCACCACCGCACCCGGCTAATTTTTGTATTTTTAGTAGAGATGGGGTTTCGCCAAGTTGGCCAGGCTGGTCTCAAACTCCCGACCTCAAGTGATCCACCCATTTCCGCCTCCTAAAGTGCTGGGATTACAGGCGTGAGCCACTGCTCCTGGCCAGTCAGTTTGTTTTCAAAAGATTTTTGTGGCTGGTGTGGTGGCTCATGCCTATAATCCCAGCACTTTGGGAGACCAAGGTGGGAGGAATGCTTGAGCCCAGGAGTTTGAGACCAGCCTTGGTAACACAGCCAGATCCTGTCTCTATCAAAAAAGTTGGGCCTATGGTCCCAGCTACTTGGGAGGCTGAGGTGGGAGGATCGCTTGAGCCTGCGAGGTTGAGGCTGCCATGACCTTTGATTGCACCATTGTACTCTAGCCTGGGCGACAGAGTGAGACTCTGTCTCAAAACAAACAACCAAAACCTTTTTGTGCTTTTTTTTTTTTTTTTCCTGCTAGTGTACCAGTTCTATCGCAACCTCTCTCATTAGGTATTTTCATTTTTAGTGTCTACAAGCTTAGCATTTGAAATAGATAACTTTTTTTTTTTGAGATGGAGTCTTGCTGTGTCCCCCAGGCTGGAGTGCAGTGGCGCGATCTCAGCTCACTGCAAGCTCCGCCTCCCGGGTTCACGCCATTCTCCTGCCTCAGCCTCTCGAGTAGCTGGGACTACACGCACCCACTGCCACCACGCCAGGCTAATTTTTTGTATTTTTAGTACAGTCGGGGTTTCACCATGTTAGCCAGGATGGTCTCGATCTCCTGACCTCGTGATCCGCCCGCCTTGGCCTCTCAAAGTGCTGGGATTACAGGCGTGAGCCACTGCACCCGGCCTTAAATAGATAAAATTTGTATAGGTCAGAAAATTGGGGAAGGGTGTATTTGGGTATTTCCATATACTTGTGTGTACTGAGTCTTCTTCCCAATATAGTTTCTCGGGTTTTCTCCTTTCTTTTCCACCTTTTCACAGAACTTTCTGCAAGTCTCATTTCCAGCTCCCCAGCGTCTTTCCTGAGTACTTGCCCTGCCCCGTGGGTCTTGCAGGAAGCCTTTACTCCTCGTCTTGCCCTCTCCAGGAGACACTTTGCATCCTCTGTACCCTTTATCTCTCAGGGTGGGGACGGGGAATGTCCTCATTCCCAAATGCTGTAGCCACACAATTGCTCTTTCGTCTTTGTGAAACTTTTCCCTTGAGGCTTATGCTGATTCTCTCTCCCGCTGACGACGTTGGCACTGTACAGCCTTCCGGTGCTCTCCTGTTCGCCCGCCATTTTGGTGACCTCAGGTATCCAAGCCAAAAGCCAGGGTCTCTCTCATCCTTTAATCTTTAATCTCCCTGTTCCTAACCCCTCACATCCAATTACTTCCCAAATCCCATCAAGTCTGCCTAATCTTCCTAATCCACCCACATCTGTCCCTCCCACTGCCTCTACTTTAATTCAAGGTCCTATTATTTTGGGCCTTATGTTGCTGAAACAGTCTCCTGCCTCCTTTTGCTCATTAAAACCGTATTTGTTGACTCTGCTTATTCTGCACCACGTGTTGGGGAAGCAGTGGTGAGAGCGAGGCAGATGTGATTCCCTCCTTCTCTGATAGGTATGACGGAAGGGGAGTGAGGAGCACCAGGGGCTATAGGAAAGAGGAACAGGGGCGCCTTGCTTAGCTGGAGGGGTTAGGGAAGCGTTCCCAGAGGAAGAAGCATCTAAGAGACCTGAAGGATGACTAGGATTCAGCCAGGAGGAGTCGTTGGGGGAGATGAAGGAAGAATATTCCAGACTTGGAGCCTAGGACATGTGAAAGCCAGTGGGTTGAAAGTGTGGCGAGTTGGCACTTTATGGGACCTGAGAGTCAAAATGGCGGGACTCAGAGATTTTTTTTTTTTTTTTTTTTTTTTTTGAAATGGAGTCTTGCTCTGTCGCCCAGGCTGGAGTGCAGTGGCGCGATCTGGGTTCACTGCAAGCTCCGCCTCCCAGGTTCACGCCATTCTCCTGCCTCAGCCTCCCGAGTAGCTGGGACTACAGGCGCCCGCCACCACGCCTGGCTAATTTTTTGTGTTTTTAGTAGACACGGGGTTTCACCACGTTAGCCAGGATGGTCTCGATCTCCTGACCTTGTGATCCGCCCGCCTTGGCCTCCCAAAGTGCTGGGATTACTGGCGTGAGCCACTGCGCCCGGTCAGGACTCAGAGATTTTTATGGGAATTAGCAGATAGAGATAAGCCTTGAGAGGTGGGTCGGGGGTAGCACGTGGTAATGGAAGACTAGGAGGAGGAACTGGCAAGATTTGGTATTGGGTTGGACCAGGAGTGGAAAGGAAGTGAAGAGTGGTAGCAGTCAAGGCTGGTGCTCAGATTTCAGGATTGAGCACTGGTGTGGAGTCCAGGAGGAACAGCAGGTTTGATGGTGGTGGATGCCGGGCCTATTATGGACAAATTGAGTTTGAGGAACCTGTGGGATGATCAAGTGGCACTGTCCACCAGGCAGTTGGATATATGGGTTCAGAGTATAGAGGTGGACACTGAAGTCCTGGCTGGTTGACATCAGCCTGAGGCCCAGAAGACAACTGACGAAGGACAGTGTCCAGACTATTTATCTCTCACAAATCAGTAAGAAAAAGACGGCTGGGCATGGTGGCTCATGCCTGTAATCCCAGCACTTTGGGAAGCCGAGGCAGGTGGATCACCCGAGGTCAGGAGTTCAAGACCAGCCTGACCAACATGGCAAAATCCCGTCTCTACTAAAAATACAAAAATTAGCCGGGTGTGGTGGCAGGCGCCTGTAATCCCAGCTACTCAGGAGGCTGAGGCAGGAGAATTGCTTGAACCTGGGAGGTGGAGGTAGTAGTGAGCCGAGATCGTGCCACTGCACTCCAGCCTGGGGACAGAGGGAGACTCTGCCTCCAAAAAAAAAAAAAGAAAAGAAAAAGAAAAAAGAGAAGAAAAGAAAAAGACAACAACTGGTCAGGCATGGTGGCTCACACCTGTAATCCCCACTTTGGGAGGCCGAGGTAGGCAGATCACTTGAGGCTGGGAGTTTGAGACCAGCCTGGCCAACATGGTGAAACCCCATCTCTACTAAAAAGTATAAAAATTAGCCGGGCGTGGTGGCAAATGCCTGTGGTCCCGGCTCCTTGGGAGGCTGAGGCATGAGAGTCGCTTGAACCCAGGAGGCAGAGGTTGTAGTGAGCCAAGATCGTGCCACTGCACCCCAGCTTGGGGAACAGAGAAAGACTCTGTCTCAAAAAGAAAAAAAAAGAAAAAGAAAATGGGCAAAATTTATGAAAAGGTGTACCTAACTAAATGGCCAGTAAACATAGAGGAAATATCTAATCTCTCTTATAGTAATGATGGAAATACAAATTTATGCTGTAATGAAATACCATTTCACCACCTTCAAATTGAGAAAAATGTAAAAGTCTGGCAATACCAAGAAGATAAAGAACAATAGACACTTTTTTTTTTTTTTGGAGACAGGATCTTGTTCTGTTGCCCAGGCTGGAGTGCAGTGGTGCGAACATGGCACACTGTAGCCTCAAACTCCTGGGGTCAAGCAGTCCTCCTGCCTCACTCTCCCAAACAGGTGGGACTACAAGTATGCCAATATGCCTGACTAATTTTTTAATTTTTTGTAAAACTGGGGTCTTGCTATATTGCCCAGGCTAGAATAGAGACTCTTATACACTGCTGGTGGGAGAGGACATTGGGACAAGTGCTTTGGGAAAGAAATTGACATTATAGTATCTTACAAAGTTTGCAAAGTGCATAGCGTAGAGACCAGTAATTTTACTCTTCAGCAGAAACTGTAGAGAAACCCTTCTACATGTGTACAGAATGTTAAAGCACACTAGCCAAAAAACAGAAAAACATCAGTGATTCTAAATAGAAGAAGGGTAGATCAGTTTGAATATATTCATGAGTAGAGTACTATACACCAGTGAAAATGCATGAATTAGAGCAAAATGTGTTTCCATGGTTAAAGCTTGCTATCACAGAGGGATGTATATGATATAATACCATTACTGTTAAGTCTAGGCCGGGCATGGTGGCTCATGCTTGTAATCCCAGTGCATTGAAAGGCTGAGGTGGCTGGATTGCTTGAGGCCAGGAGTTTTAGACCAGCGTGAGCAACACAGACCCCTGTTTCTACAAAAAAATAATTTTAAAGATTAGCCGGGCAGGCTGGGCGTGGTGTCTCATGCCTGTAATCCCAGCACTTGGGAGACTGAGGTGGGTGGATCACGAGGTCAGGAGTTCAAGACCAGCCTGGCCAAGATGGTGAAACCCCGTCTCTACTAAAAATACAAAAAAATTAGCCGGGCGTGATAGCAGGCGCCTGTAATCGTAGCTACTCAGGAGGCTGAGGCAGAGAATTGCTTGAGTCTGGGAGGCAGAGGTTGCAGTGAGCCAAGATTGTGCCACTGCATTCCAGCCTGGGCGACAGAGCGAGACTCCGTCAAAAATAAATAAATAAATAAATAAATAAATAAATAAGCCAGGTATGGTGGCTTATGCTTATATTCCCAGTTACTAGGGAGGCTGAGGCCAGGGGATTGTTTGCTTGAGCCCAGGAGTTTGAGGTTTCAGTGAGATGATTGCGCCACTGTGCTCCAGCCTAGGCAACAGAGTAAGACCCTGTCTCTAAGAAAAGAAAAAATTAAGTCTAAAGACCTGCAAGACAACGTTAGATACTGTTTTTTTTCCCATATGAATATACTCCTAGGCTGGGCGCAGTGGCTCACACCTGTAATCCCAGCACTTTGGGAGGCTGAGGCAGAAAGATCACTTGAGGCCAAGAGTTCGAGACCAGCCTGGCCAACGTGGCGAAACCCTGTCTATACTAAAAATACAAAAAATTAGCTGAGCATGGAGGTGAACTCCTGCAATCCCAGCTACTCGGGAGGCTGAGACACAAGAATTGCTTGAACCTGGGAGGTGGAGGTTGCAGTGAACTGAGATCGTGCCACTGCACTCAGCCTGGGTGACAGAGTGAGACTCTGCCTTTAAAATTAAAAAAAAAAAATTTATATATATATATATATTTATATATATATATATATTTATATATATATATATATATATATATTTATATATATATATATATATTTATATATATATATATATTCCTAAGGAAATGTATGACAGTGATAAATTCAAGATAGTGTTTACCTCTGAGGGAGAGTTTCTGTTAGGAAAGGGGTTTAAACATATCTTTTTGTTCAGCTGGATGGAGGGGTCACAGGGCTGTTTTTTTAATAAGATACTTTGTATGTTTGAACTGTTTAATTTTTTTTCTTTATTTTTGTAAGGAGGTTTTTTTGTTTCCATTTTTGTATTTTTGAGACAGTGTTTCTGTTGCCCAGGCTGGAGTGCAGTGGCAATGATCTCAGCTCACTGTGGTCTCTATCTCCTGGGCTCAAGCAATTCTCATGCCTCAGCCTCCCTAGTAGCTGGGACTACAGGCATGCACTACCATGCCCAGCTAATTTTTTTTTCTTGTAGAGACAGTGTTTCACCATATTGCCCAGGCTGGTCTTGAACTCCTGGGCTCAAGTGATCTGCCTGCCTCAGCCTCCCTAAGTGCTGGGATTACAGGTGTGAGCCACTGTGCTCAGCCGATAATTTTTTTCTTTTCTTTTTCTTTTTTTTTTGGGGGGCACTGTCTCTCTGTCACCTAGGGTGGAGTGCAGTGGTGCGATCTCAGCTCACTGCAACCTTTGTCTCCTGGGTTCAAGGGATTCTCCTGCCTCAGCCTCCTGAGTATCTGGGATTACAGGTGTCCACCACCACGCCTGGCAAATTTTTGTACTAATATTTTTTTAAAGGATCAAATGGCACCTAGCATGTACTCAGTAAGTATTTGAATAATTGGTTGGTTCTTTGTCTCTGGGTTGAGGTATTATTATTTGTTTCTTCCTCTCTAAGTGTTTATAAAGAAAAAGTATAAGGCCCGGCACGGTGGCTCACACCTGTAATCCCAGCACTTTTGGAGGCTGAGGCGGGTGGATCACCTGAGGTCAGAAGTTTGAGACCAGCCTGGCCAACATCATGGTGAAACCCTGTCTCTATTAAAAAAAAAAACAAAAACAAAATTAGCCAGGCATGGTGGTGCATGCTCTGTCTCAAAATAATAAAAAAAAAAAAGTATGAATCTATATGGCTTTTGGTGGCTAAATTTGACATTAAAGTCTGAGCTCACCCTTGAACATTGAGACAGAGTCTGTGCTCCATATATACACCCCATCTGCCACAACACTGCTAGAGGCACGCGCCTCAGACTCCTTTTCCCTCCGAGTGACTCAGCCATTCCCCCGTCTCTGTATAGGTCCCTGTCCTTCGAATGGTGGAAGGTGATACCATCTATGATTACTGCTGGTATTCTCTGATGTCCTCAGCCCAGCCAGACACCTCCTAGTAAGTAATGTTTGCCTCCCTGCTCGCCGCCCCACCACCCAGTTTCAAGCAGGGCCTCTTGGGAGAGTCAAGGGCTGCCAGGGGTCTTTGGAGGAGGAAGGCTTGGCATGCTTATCAGAGGGGCTGGTCAGTTGGCTTCCTCCCCTTCCTTTTTTTTTTTTTAGATTGAGTCTCCCTCTGTCACCCAGGCTGGAGGGCGGTGATGCAGTCTCAGCTCACTGCAACCTCCGCCTCCCAGGTTGAAGTGATTCTCCTGCCTCAGCCTCCTGAGTAGCTGGGATTACAGGTGTGCACCACCACACCCAGCTAATTGTGTATTTTTCATAGAGATGGGGTTTCACCACGTTGGCCAGGCTGGTCTCGAACTGACCTCAGGTGATCCACCTGCCTTGGCCTCCTGAAGTGCTTGGATTACAGGCATGAGCCACCACACCCAGCCTCATTTTTGTATTTTTAGTAGAGACAGGGTTTCACCATGTTGGCCAGGCTGGTCTCGAACTCCTGACCTCAAGTGATCCACCTGCCTTGGCCTCCCAAAGTGCTGGGATTACAGGCATGAGCCACTGTGCCCGGCCATTCCTCCCCTTCCTTTGACAGCACCGGGGTTTCAGTGTCCATGTCTCTCTCAGCGTGGCCAGCAGCAGCCGGGAGAACCCGATTCATATCTGGGACGCATTCACTGGAGAGCTCCGGGCTTCCTTTCGCGCCTACAACCACCTGGTAGGGACCGCCATACTCAGCCCCAGCACTCGTACTGGCCCGGCTCTCCTTCCTTGAGGGCAGCTGAGGCTTTGCAAGACCTGTTTTCAGCCCTTTCCTTCCCCCAGGATGAGCTGACGGCAGCCCATTCGCTCTGCTTCTCCCCGGATGGCTCCCAGCTCTTCTGTGGCTTCAACCGGACTGTGCGTGTTTTTTCCACGGCCCGGCCTGGCCGAGACTGCGAGGTCCGAGCCACATTTGGTAAGCATCTGTGCCTCCAAGGGAGGAGGAGAGGGAAGGGCACTGCCACCTGCACAGGGGCCTTTTGTGAGCCGGGGGCCACCTGTGGGGGTTCACGCCGTCCTCTGTACGGCCCCGGGAGCAGGTGCAGCCCAGTCGGCAGAGGAGCAAACAGGCTCAGAGCAGGTAGGAAACCTTCCCAAGGCCAACCAGCTGGTCAAAGGACTGCTTCCTTCCTGAACTCATACCCTGTCAGCTGTGGAGCTTTTGGTCTCTGAAATCTTTCTAGAAAATTGTTGATAAAGCTGATTCCGTTTTCCTGTAGGCCTTCAACTTGCATCTCTCCAAGGAAGAACTGGGATTTGAGAGGGATGAAGTGGGGCTTGGGCATTTAGGTCCTTTGGGAGGATAGATGTGGGGAGCATCAGAGGTCTTTGTCCTGCTTGTGACAGACAGCATGGGGGGGATGTTGAGTCCAAGCATGTTGGTGCTGGGACGGGAGACAGACCTCTGCTTAGCCTGGTTAGTGCCAGGAGCCATTGCCCCCTCCCCCACTTTGTTCCTTCCCTCTCTAGCAAAAAAGCAGGGCCAGAGCGGCATCATCTCCTGCATAGCCTTCAGCCCAGCCCAGCCCCTCTATGCCTGTGGCTCCTACGGCCGCTCCCTGGGTCTGTATGCCTGGGATGATGGCTCCCCTCTCGCCTTGCTGGGAGGGCACCAAGGGGGCATCACCCACCTCTGCTTTCATCCCGATGGCAACCGCTTCTTCTCAGGAGCCCGCAAGGTAGGGGTCACACCCTGAGAGCCCAAAGCAGCTGGGCAGCGGGGCAGGAGCAGGGATGTAGTCTGCAGTGTAGGGGAATGGGTGGGGATGGGGAAAAAATCCCAAGCTGAAGGAGTGCCTGGAGACCCCGAGGGAGGCAGGGACATCCAGGGCTTTGGGGGTGACTCCAGGTCCTGTTCCTTGTCTCCAGGATGCTGAGCTCCTGTGCTGGGATCTCCGGCAGTCTGGTTACCCACTGTGGTCCCTGGGTCGAGAGGTGACCACCAATCAGCGCATCTACTTCGATCTGGACCCGTGAGTGGCTGTGACTCCTTCCTACACAGGGCCCTGATAAGCCTAGGAATGCCAGAGCCCAGCTGTAGGGTCCCAGTCCCTGGGTGTGAGGGGTTCCTGCCCCAGGGGTGAGGCCTCTGCCAGCAAATCTCTCCTCTCTCTCGCAGGACCGGGCAGTTCCTAGTGAGTGGCAGCACGAGCGGGGCTGTCTCTGTGTGGGACACGGACGGGCCTGGCAATGATGGGAAGCCGGAGCCCGTGTTGAGTTTTCTGCCCCAGAAGGACTGCACCAATGGCGTGAGGTCCTCAGTTCAATTCCAGAGATGTTGGGGCTTGGGTTGGGGAGGGAGGTGAATCCCAGAGGGAGCAAGTGTCCTCACTGAAGGCACTGATAGACCCTCCCCATCTCTCCCTCAGCCTGCACCCTAGCCTGCCTCTCCTGGCCACTGCCTCCGGTCAGCGTGTGTTTCCTGAGCCCACAGAGAGTGGGGACGAAGGAGAGGAGCTGGGCCTTCCCTTGCTCTCCACGCGCCACGTCCACCTTGAATGTCGGCTTCAGCTCTGGTGGTGTGGGGGGGCGCCAGACTCCAGCATCCCTGATGATCACCAGGGCGAGAAAGGGCAGGGAGGAACGGAGGGAGGTGTGGGTGAGCTGATATAAAAAGGTTTTTATGATACTAGAGTCTTCGTGTCTGTTTTGGGGGGGCATATGAGTGAGGTGGGGGACCAGGCAGGGGGACTGGCGGGCTCCCTGGTCCAGCAGCAGTGGGTATGGCATATTGGTCCTGAAACCAGGCGTTGAGAGGTGGGACCAGGCAGGAGCCAATGGGGCGGCTGAGCTTGGTGTGAAGTCAAGTGGGTGGGGGTGGGGCTTCATGCCATTGACTGGTTGGTTGCTAGGCAACTTGGTAAACTGAAGGGGGAAACCTGTTTGAAATCTCACTCCCAAGGTGGGGGCGGCAGGGGTCAGGGTGAGCGGGGCTGAGCAGGAGCTGGGTCAGACTGTTGGGTGTGACCGTGTGAGACTGTGCAGACAGTGACAGGGCGCCTGTCGCCCACACTCCACACTGTTTGCCATTCTCCAGCAGCATGGGGACCATTACTCAGCTCTGAGGGGAGCAGGAGCACTCTCCTCCGCTCCCCGGGGCTCCCCAGGAGGCAGACAACCCAGTTGCCAGAGTCAAGGACACACATAAAAGAGTAAAGGTGTTGAAAAATACAGTCGTCACCTTTGATATTGCTGTTCCATGCGGGGCGCGGCGAGGGTCTTATTCATTCAGCGGCTGTCGCTGGGCTTGTTTCTCCATTTGTCTGCTCTGTCTTTGGGGGTGGGGGACGAGTGTGTCATTTGAAGCAGTGACTCCTCCCTCCTCCCCCCAACACCTTCCCAAACACTGAGAATGGGGGGACTTTGAAGAAATACTGCCAGCAGGGGATGTGATTTTGGACCTCACAATCAAAGGGAAGGGACGAAAGGCCTGGGGAGGCTTGAGAGGGAGAGGAATGTCACCCCTGCCCAGAGGTGCTGAAAGCCAGGGCTCTTACACCCGAAAAGGCAACTCCTCCCTTCCCCCAGGATAATTGGAAACAGCCCTTCCTGCGCAGCGCCGGTTTGGGGTTGTAGGTACGCCCCTTCTTCTCCCAGCCCCGCTTCTCCCCCCAGCCATCTAGGAAAGACCCAAGTGTATCCCCTAAACTCTTGTTTTTCACTAACCCCCAGGTAACAACAGCACTTGGTCCATGGAGCAGTGACAAAAGAGACCCCAAGAGTGGGAGGTGCGCAGCCTGGGTTTGGTTTCTAGCTTTATCCCAGACTTCCTGTGTGACCTTGGGCAAGTCACGGGGCCTCCCTGAGCCTCAGTTTCCTCATCTCTGCAATGGGATCGTTAGCTCTGCCCCTCCCACTTCACACAGGTAGTCGTGACGATCAGCTCCGCCGCACTTTGTAAAGCGCCAAGCCTTCAAGGTTATTATTATTCTCTCCAAACCTGCCGGGAGCAGCGGTGTTGTTTTGGGATGGAGGAGGAGGCTGCGGGAGCGAAAGGGGTGGGTTCCTCGGGGTGGAGAGGGCGAGAGCCTTTCTGGATTCGAGAGAGGAAGATTCCAGCAGCTTGGGCGATCGGAGGGCAGGAGGGGAGCCGGGCAGAACTCAGCCGGAGCCAGAGGCTCGGAGAGACAAAGGGGGCGTGACAGCCCGCGCCGGGGGCTGAGGCGGGGCGGCGGGCGGGAGGTGCGCGAGGTGAGGGAGGTGTGGGGGGCGTGGGCCGCGGGATGCTGCCGCCCGCTCCGCCTCGAGCTCCAGCTCCGGTTTTTCCCTCCACCATCCTCTGCCCCTCCCCGCCTCTCCTTTAACTCCCCCCTCCTGGGCTCGGGACTGGTTTCCTCCCTTAGCCCGCTGCCCTCAATCCCAGCGAGGCTGGGGCTCCGGCTCGGCGCCCCCTTCCTCGCTCCCTGGTCCGGCGCCCCATGCCGCCCCCGCCCGGTCCCCGGCTCCCCCAGTCCCCCACTTAGGCGGGCTCACAGATCCCGGGGTGCTGGCGCGTGGGCCGGGGGCGCGTAGGGCGCCTGCAGACGGCCCCTGGAAGGGCTCTGGTGGGGCTGAGCGCTCTGCCGCGGGGGCGCGGGCACAGCAGGAAGCAGGTCCGCGTGGGCGCTGGGGGCATCAGCTACCGGGGTGGTCCGGGCTGAAGAGCCAGGCAGCCAAGGCAGCCACCCCGGGGGGTGGGCGACTTTGGGGGAGTTGGTGCCCCGCCCCCCAGGCCTTGGCGGGGTCATGGGGCCCCCCCATTCTGGGCCGGGGGGCGTGCGAGTCGGGGCCCTGCTGCTGCTGGGGGTTTTGGGGCTGGTGTCTGGGCTCAGCCTGGAGCCTGTCTACTGGAACTCGGCGAATAAGAGGTGAGTGGCCTGCGGCTGGGGAGATCCCAGACCCTAGGGCAGTGGGTAGGGAAGCTCTGGGGGCTTGGAGGCGGGCTTCTGTGGGCAGGGAGGAGGCGGGAGGGAAGGTGCTGGTGCTCTGATGTGTGATGGGTTACTAGACAGGTGATCTTGGGAGCCAGACTCCGGGTCCCACGCAGAGCTGGATGCGGGTGGTGCTATGGATGTCAGGAGTTTGGAGACCCCAAAGGGGCAAGGAGAAGAAAGTTCATGGGTAGCCGGGAGGGCAGTGAGGTGGGTATTTGGATCTGTGGGAGGCCTGCGTCGGGGGCTGGGCTTGGAGGGAGCCTGGTTACTGTCAGCTCTCAGGAGAGAGCTGCAGATTAGGTGCTGCGAGTCGCTGAGGGGAAGGCAGGGCAGGGTGCCTCCCTCCCCCAGAGGGACTGCGCATCCGAGATGGGAGGCAAGGGGGTTCCGTTTGGGGGCTCTGGGGACAACTTCCCCAAGGCTCCTTGACTCTCTTCACAGTCTGTCTCCCAACTCTTCCCCACAGCCAGAGGGTCAGTGAACTGTTGGCTGAACGATTTCCCAGCCAGAACATATTCCTGCCTTCCTGGCTTGCCGGCATCTTGCTGGAAGAAGCCTGGAGCCCCCTGAACCCTCCTTCCTTCCCTTTTGCATCTGGAGGACTCCATTGCCCCCTCCCCCAATCTTTGCTGCAAACTCTTCCATCAGACCCTCTGTTCCATGGCATGCCAGCTTTGCTCTGAAAAGAGGCCAGGGGTCAGATGAAACTTCAAGCCACGCTGGGTAGGACAGAACCTTCGGGAGGTCACCTGGGTCCCTTGCCTACATGCGGATCCCACTTCCCGCTCATAAAAGAGTTCTGTGTTTTGAAAAATTCCTACTTCCCTGGGGAGACTGTGTGAGGCCATGGGAAGGGGGTGGGCTTTGGAGCTCATCAAATCTTTGGTCTTAATCCTAGCTCTGCCGCTTTCAGCTGTGTGGCCTTGGGCATGTCACTTAACCTTTCTGAGTTTGTATCCTCAATCCTTACAGCTATTATGAGGATTAGCGGTAAGGTGTTTGAATGTATTATGTGCTCATTAAAGGAGAGCTAGGATTATTGTTCCTCTCTTTACTTCCCAGCCTCCCTCACACTTCTCTGCTCTGCCATCCCTCCCTCTCTTTTCCCTGGATCTCTTTGGGTATAATCTCAATGTCTTTTCTGTACTCAGTCACCCACCTGCCAACTCCCAGCTGCAATGTGAGTATCAGGTGTGTAGCTTGAGAACATAAGCTTGTTTTCACAGGGTAGAGAAAAGGGAGTTAGGGTGTCCTGGGGGCTCTTTCGGATGTGGGGTGGGAGTGGGACACTTGGGAGTCTGGGAAGATATCAAGTAGCAGTCCCCTGGGACCCAGTCCTGAGACCCTGTCTCAGCAGCTATTGATGTCCAGGAAGGGGCTGCAGGGGTTGGCAAGTTGTGGCTGTGCTGGGACAGTGGATGCCTGGGTGCACTGGCCAAGGAGATGGTGAAGTGTGTTGGTTGTGGTTAGAAAAGTCAACTCCTTTCCTTTCCAAAGCAATAGAGCACTTGCCCCAGAAGTCTAAGACCCAGTGTGGGATTCTGAGTGGGAGAATGACTCAGGCAGCAGGTTCCTAGACCCTGGTTCCCATCAGCCCCAATGATGGTCGTGGCCAAACCAGGCATTTGCCTTCTGTGCTATTAGCTGGCTAACTTAGGACACTGGTCTGGACCACCCTCCACACAGCCCCTCCCTGAACCGCCGCCCCCTTTGCCCGGAAATCCCTGAAATTCAGTGGTGGCCTGAAGGAGGGGAGGCTCTGCCCGCATGGTTGGCTGCCATGGAATAGTGAAATCACCTGGGAGGGGTGGGCTGTGTGGTTCCAGAGAGGCCAGCTCCTTGGTAACTGGCATCCTGTTGCCATGGCAACGGGGCTGGTGATGGAGCGGGAGATGGCGGTGTGCATGTGGTGAGGGCGGGCTGAAGAGTGGAGTGCATTTGGGCACACCAAGGGGCAGGAGACCCCTGAGCCTGGCTTCCTGCTGCTTCCAATGTGAATGCACAGAGTCCTTGGTGCCTGCTCTATAAGAAGAGACTTTCCACTCAGACAAAGGCGGGCAAGCGTGAGCTGAGAATTGCTGTCCTGGAAGGTTGTGGGGTGAGGGAAGGAAAGTTCTGGGGGCCAGGCCTCTGACATCTCTTCCTTGTCCACCTTACCCTCCTCCCCATAGGTTCCAGGCAGAGGGTGGTTATGTGCTGTACCCTCAGATCGGGGACCGGCTAGACCTGCTCTGCCCCCGGGCCCGGCCTCCTGGCCCTCACTCCTCTCCTAATTATGAGTTCTACAAGCTGTACCTGGTAGGGGGTGCTCAGGGCCGGCGCTGTGAGGCACCCCCTGCCCCAAACCTCCTTCTCACTTGTGATCGCCCAGACCTGGATCTCCGCTTCACCATCAAGTTCCAGGAGTATAGCCCTAATCTCTGGGGCCACGAGTTCCGCTCGCACCACGATTACTACATCATTGGTACTGCTGGGCAGAGGGCACGATTGAGTGGGGGGCTCCTGATACTGAGCAGAGAGGGAGGGGGACCCCTGCAGCCAAGAGGGAGATCCCAGTGCCCTCAGGCAGTGTTCACACCAGGGTGTGGGGCCAGAATCAGGGCTAGATTCTGGAGTGCCAACCTCTTCCTCTGGCTTTTCTCTCCCAGCCACATCGGATGGGACCCGGGAGGGCCTGGAGAGCCTGCAGGGAGGTGTGTGCCTAACCAGAGGCATGAAGGTGCTTCTCCGAGTGGGACAAAGTGAGTGGGGCTGGGGGACACCTCCTGGGCACGAAGGGACGTTGGGGCAGTACGATCATGGTTGGGGCAGTTGTCTCAGCCCCTCTCTGGGTCTTCCTCATCTCCAGGTCCCCGAGGAGGGGCTGTCCCCCGAAAACCTGTGTCTGAAATGCCCATGGAAAGAGACCGAGGGGCAGCCCACAGCCTGGAGCCTGGGAAGGAGAACCTGCCAGGTAGGAACCAGGGGCTAGGCCCCTGCCTTCCCCAGCTTCCTCTGCTCTCAGACCCCAGCTGCCCTGCCGTCACCCTCCCTCCCTCTTCAGTTTTGGGGGCGGTGATACAGGAAAGAGGAGAAGAGAGGATGGGAGGGTGGGAGGGGAATGGAAACCAAATGAGGAAAAGACTCAATTAGAACTAATTAGCCAAGTCAGTGCTTCAATCAGTGCTGTCAGAGAAGTGGGGAGGACTCCGTGGCAGGAAGCTGAAGGGCTGGACACCTGGATTCTGAGCAGAGTTCGGAGGGGGAGGAGAGATGGGGTCCCCAAGGGGCCTGGGCGCTACAAGGGAAGCCCATGGGGACCCCCAGGGTTGGGTGTCCAGGTGCCCAGGTGGCTCCTTCAGTCCCTCCCCCTCTTTCCTCCTTCACCCCTTCCCTGCCAGGTGACCCCACCAGCAATGCAACCTCCCGGGGTGCTGAAGGCCCCCTGCCCCCTCCCAGCATGCCTGCAGTGGCTGGGGCAGCAGGGGGGCTGGCGCTGCTCTTGCTGGGCGTGGCAGGGGCTGGGGGTGCCATGTGTTGGCGGAGACGGCGGGCCAAGCCTTCGGAGAGTCGCCACCCTGGTCCTGGCTCCTTCGGGAGGGGAGGGTCTCTGGGCCTGGGGGGTGGAGGTGGGATGGGACCTCGGGAGGCTGAGCCTGGGGAGCTAGGGATAGCTCTGCGGGGTGGCGGGGCTGCAGATCCCCCCTTCTGCCCCCACTATGAGAAGGTGAGTGGTGACTATGGGCATCCTGTGTATATCGTGCAGGATGGGCCCCCCCAGAGCCCTCCAAACATCTACTACAAGGTATGAGGGCTCCTCTCACGTGGCTATCCTGAATCCAGCCCTTCTTGGGGTGCTCCTCCAGTTTAATTCCTGGTTTGAGGGACACCTCTAACATCTCGGCCCCCTGTGCCCCCCCAGCCCCTTCACTCCTCCCGGCTGCTGTCCTCGTCTCCACTTTTAGGATTCCTTAGGATTCCCACTGCCCCACTTCCTGCCCTCCCGTTTGGCCATGGGTGCCCCCCTCTGTCTCAGTGTCCCTGGATCCTTTTTCCTTGGGGAGGGGCACAGGCTCAGCCTCCTCTCTGACCATGACCCAGGCATCCTTGTCCCCCTCACCCACCCAGAGCTAGGGGCGGGAACAGCCCACCTTTTGGTTGGCACCGCCTTCTTTCTGCCTCTCACTGGTTTTCTCTTCTCTATCTCTTATTCTTTCCCTCTCTTCCGTCTCTAGGTCTGTTCTTCTTCCCTAGCATCCTCCTCCCCACATCTCCTTTCACCCTCTTGGCTTCTTATCCTGTGCCTCTCCCATCTCCTGGGTGGGGGCATCAAAGCATTTCTCCCCTTAGCTTTCAGCCCCCCTTCTGACCTCTCATACCAACCACTCCCCTCAGTCTGCCAAAAATGGGGGCCTTATGGGGAAGGCTCTGACACTCCACCCCAGCTCAGGCCATGGGCAGCAGGGCTCCATTCTCTGGCCTGGCCCAGGCCTCTACATACTTACTCCAGCCATTTGGGGTGGTTGGGTCATGACAGCTACCATGAGAAGAAGTGTCCCGTTTTGTCCAGTGGCCAATAGCAAGATATGAACCGGTCGGGACATGTATGGACTTGGTCTGATGCTGAATGGGCCACTTGGGACCGGAAGTGACTTGCTCCAGACAAGAGGTGACCAGGCCCGGACAGAAATGGCCTGGGAAGTAGCAGAAGCAGTGCAGCAGGAACTGGAAGTGCCTTCATCCAGGACAGGAAGTAGCACTTCTGAAACAGGAAGTGGTCTGGCTGGAACTCCAAGTGGCTTAGTCTGGGGGATCAGGAGGTGGGAGGTGGATGGTTCTTATTCTGTGGAGAAGAAGGGCGGGAAGAACTTCCTTTCAGGAGGAAGCTGGAACTTACTGACTGTAAGAGGTTAGAGGTGGACCGAGAAGGACTTTTCCCAGTCTTCAGTGGCACTTCCCAAGATCTCCCTTCCCTTGTGCTCTGTGCTGATTTTAGGACAGCTAAGATGACTGCCATGTGCTGTGGCAGGCCTAATTTGTCTTGTTCTTTCCTTTCCATATCCCAGTATAATCTCTGTTAATCAACAGGACTACCCCAAGAACCCATGTGCTCTCCCGAGTAACCCAGATGGCTGTCTTGTTCATTCCATCCTACATTTCTGACTCCTTTCAGACTCAACACAGTTCCCTTCTTAGTGACCAAAATGGTGGCCTACTGGCTGGTCTAGCTGACAGTGGTACTTAGCAAAGGCCACTGTTTCCATAGTGACCAGCTGATACCTCTTCCTGCCCTCTAGTGTGCAATTGGGTGTTGCCTCAGTTTCCTCCCAGCTCAGTTTTATTAGATCAAAGCTGTTGTTGGGCACCAGGTTGGCCACCTCAATCACCAGCCAAGATGGTTGCTTTGTCCACCAGAGGTCAAGTTCACCTCTCTGGTGCTGTAGTTCCCAGCTCCTTCCTGATTTTTCTAATCGCTCCTTCTGGGGAACAGGAAGTTGATATTGCCATGGTGGCGGGGTATGCCGTCACCTCAGTAGTTTTACTGTAAAAGGGAAATTTGAACAACAAAAACCAAAAAAAATAAAAATAAAAAACTTCAAAAGTTGACAAGAAGGCTGGAGAATGACTGGACTTGAATTGGGACAAAGGCTTGGTTAGAATGGCTTTCAGCTGAGGGTTGGATTGCATGAAACCAACCAAGGGGGGTGGGTAGGGATAGGGCTAGTTTGGAGTGGTGAGGTTGGCAGTGCTTGGGGAGGCGAAAATGGGCTGGGCGAGAAGGCAGAGGAAGGTGTCACCTCTAGGGGAGGGAGAGAGTAATGCAGGCAGGAGTGGGGTCGCCAATTCATCCATGGGGACAGTCTGAGTGTCTTGCTAAGCCAAAGCACCAGAGACAGGGTAAGACGCAATTAGGATCAAAGTGGTAAAAACATGTTCACATGTTAAAGTCTATTCCCTACCATCCCTACCCAAGGCACTTGAGAAGTTTTGCTGTTGGGGACTCATGGGGAGAAGGGATGTGGCTGATCAGAAGGAAGTAGGAAGGACTCAGGGAGGGACCCAGGCATCAAGCTGCGTGTGCCCTGGCTCCCTGTATACCCATAACCGAGGCTCTTCTCCCCCAAAAAGCCCAGGTGCCCAGTCCCCTAGACTTAGCCCCATTCTCCAACCACAAAAGCAGCCGTCAGGAGCATCACTGGAGCGAGTCAGCAGGGGTCACAACCTCTGCCCTCCCTGCCCCTCCCCTGACTTTAGGTCCCCTCCCGCTGTCTCCCATCTGTCTGGAGGTCAAGGGGTCCCTCTTCCTCTCTTCTGTCCAGTGGGACCCCTGCTCCTCCCCCTCCCCGTCTGAGCAAGATGCCTGGGTCTTGAGAGGTGCGGGCACCGCAGGAGGGGAGTTGAAAGCTGGGAGGCCAGGTACTGGGCTGTCTGGAATTTACTCTTGCCTTCTGAGCCCACACTGGAGCTGCCCGAAGTGGGGAGGCTCGTAGGGGGTGGAAAGGCTGGTCCTTGCCCCTTAGTGGGGGTTGGTTGTCATGGCAACATCCCCTTCTCTACACAATGGGAAGCCCCCCTCAGCCTCCCGCGTGGATGGAGCCGACAGCCCCATCGCTGGCTATCAGCCTCAGGGACTTGGCAACCGTCACTATGGCAACCCAGAGCCCAGCAACAGGGCCCACTGAGAAAGGGAGGGGTCCAAGACTGGGGCAGGGTGGTGTGTGAGGGGCAAGGGAGATCAGGGAGACTCCCCCTCCACCTACATCTAGAGGCACAGGTGGAGAGACAAGAGGGAAGAGACGTGGGGATAAATAGTCTCCGTGACAGACAAGCACCTCGCCAAAGCAGCCAAGACATCATAACATGCTGAGAGACAGGAAGACACCTGGGGACAGATGCACAGCCAGGGAGAGGAACAGCACAGACTGCACAGCGCCTGGGACACGCCCCCTCAGAGCGCTGGCATCCAGAGACTCCCCGCAGCCCCGCTCGAATAGCACAAGACCAACAGCCTTTCACATGTGTAGTGACTTGGGTGTCTGGAGCTATTTGAAAATGCTGGTGACTTCCACGCAGAATAACACAGGCCGTCCTATTTGCTTTGTGGGGACAAATACACACACATATTCCTAGAGTAACAACTGCAACAAAACAACTACAGCAAAACGACTACAGGCACAGGAAGACATTTGTTTGTTCATTGGTTTGTTCGTTCACTCGCTCAGCAGCATGTTAAATGCTACTTTGTTTCAGGCACCGGTTCAGGCGCTGGGAGGACAGGGTGAGTAAGGCCAGGTCCCCGCTTTCACAAAGTCCACATTTAGGTGGGGAACGAAATAATACAATTTCAGGTGTGAAAAGGGATATAAACAAAACAGAATGACAGGATGAGGAGGATGGAGAGTAACCAGGAGCTGCTTTATTTATTTATTAATTTATTAATTTATTTATTTTTGAGATGGAATCTTGCTCTGTTGCCCAGGCTGGAGTGCAGTGGCGCGATCTCGGCTAACTGCAACCTCCACCTCCCGGGCTCAAGCGATGATTGTCCTGCCTCAGCCTCCCAAGTAGCTAGGATTAACAGGTGCCCGCCACCTTGCCCAGCTAAGTTTTGTATTTTTAGTAGGGTCGGGGTTTCAACATGTTGGCCAGGCTGGTCTCGAACTCCTGACCTTAGGTGCTCAGCCCACCTTGGCCTCCCAAAGTGCTGGGATGACAGGCATGAGCCACCGCACCCGGCCTGGAGCTGCTTTAGATGAGGAGGTCAGGAAGGTCCCTTTGAAAGAGATGCCCTTGATCAGGACCTTAAGTCATGAGACAGGAGTAAGCCATGCACACTGGGGACGGGCATGCTAGACAGAGGAACAGCAAGTGCACGGGCACAGAGGTGAGATTGTGGTGTGTTTGGGAACAGTAAGAAGGACATCACCACCACATGCATGTTTCGGATGTGTCCTGTTCTTCCCTAGCCTCGGCCTGGAGGGGAGTAAGTCACTTAGGGTCTTGGATCCACATTAAGGAAGTTGATCTCACTCAGTCTCCCATCCCCTTGCCTTTTGTTTCTTGTGTGTCTGTGACTTGTGTTTTCCTCGTCTAAATTTTAAGCTCTGGGAGGGCAAGGATGATGCTCTGAGCTTTTTTGGGGGCTGTGGCACAGCTGCTGGCAGAGTCCAGAGCAGGAAGGCAGAGCGGAAGTAAAGGAACCGAGAGGGCTGGGACCACAGAAGCTAGAGCTGTCGCCCTGCCATCCCCAAACCGCATAGGATTGAGGCTGTCTTGGGGCTGAGCTGTAGAGTGAAGCTCAGGCTTTGCCCTCCTTCCAAATAACGGCAGCTGAGGGATACTATTCAGCCCGAGGTGCGTGTGTGTGTGCGTGTGTGTGTGTGTGTGTGTGTGTGTGTGTTGGGGGTTTTTAGGGAAAGGGGAATGGGGCAAGGAGTGGCAGTGGGAATTTCTTTTCTTTTTCTTTTCTTTTTTTTTTTTTTTGAGACAGTCTCGCTCTGTGGCCCAGGCTGGAGTGCAGTGGTGCAATTCTCGTGCCTCAGCCTCCCGAGTAGCTGGGACTACAGGCATGTGCCACCACGCCCGGCTAATTTTTTGTATTTTTAGTAGAGATGGGGTTTCACCACATTGGCCAGGCTGGTCTTGAACTCCCGACCTCAGGTGATCCACCCACCTCAGCTTCCCAAAGTGCTGGAATTACAGATGTGAGCCACTGTGCCTGGCCTTGCAGTGGGAATTTCTGATGCGGAATGGTTGACATCATATCTGGAATTTTAATTAGAATGAAAAATGGCCCTTCCTAAGGGGCTATATGGGCCACCGTGGACATGGGGCTTGGGAGAGTTTTGAGACCTGGGAGAAATGTCACACGGTGGTTTGGAGGCAGGAGGCTGTCTGGCATAGGCTCAGAGTTGGGTGGGGGAAGGAAAAGGGACACAGAATGAATGGGAATGACAACTGGGCAGCCAGAGAGCTACTTGAAAGGTAGCAGGGAAAGTGGAGTTCTGAAGGGAGTTCTGAGGGGACCAGGCCCCAGGTACCCCAATTCCCACAGGGAATCGAAGTGTTCAGTTTTCTGGTTCTCCCTCTTCCTCCAGTTGCCATCAGAAACTCAGGCACCGCAACCCCAGTGGCTGGCGGGGTGATGTCGGGGGGAGACTGAGCTGCTTCAGGGGGTAGCAGCTGGTGAGTTGGGAGGAATCTGTGTGCTCAGCAAACAGCAGCCTCAGTGCCCGGTGGCTGCCTCCTCCCTCATCAATCAGCCCCAGCCAAATGTCCTTGCATTCCCACCACCCCAAGGGGACTGGGGCTGGGCCAGGGTCCCCAGGGGAGATGGGGATGGGTGGGGGGAGGTGAAGGGGGGTGCTTGGCTTCCTTTCCCTTGGCCTCTGTTCTCTTCTGTCCTGGAAGCTCTCAGTTCTTCATGTCATGGAATGACTATCCTGGCCCCTACCATCGTGGGGGCATCAGCTACAAATCACCTGTGGGGGGCTGCTGGGGGAGAAGGATGAGTCAGGCTGTAGAGTAATCTACTCTGGTTCTCACGGGACCAGCCCAGGGCACAGCCGGCAGGGAGGCTGCTGGCATAGAGGCCCTGTCTCCCCTGGCCTCTGTCTCTGATGAATGATCCGGACAGCAGGCCGAGACCCTGACCCCTGGAATGGACCTCTCTTTCCACCTTCTCCTAGCCCCCAGTCCTCATCCCCTGCTTCCAGCCAAGATCCAGAGGTCTGGCCCCCAGCTCACCCCAAATCTGCTGTTCCCCACTAGGGACTGGGGTCTCTAGACCTTAGCCTCTGGCTCCCTTTCCCCCTCCTCAGCCTTTGCTCCCCTCCGGGACCCAGGCGTCCTGCCCACTCCCTTCACCATAACAACCATTCTTTTGGAGTTGCTTAAGACTTTAATATCATTTCATTAAGTCAGCAAGTTCAGAGAAGGTTGGGGGCACAAAGAGACTGGGGGTGGGCAAAAGAGGGCCAAAGTAGGGGGGAGGCAAGGAAAGATCCCCCACCCCCCTCTCCGTGGAGATGGCTCTGAGAAATCAAATATTGACAATGAGGGAACAGAACTTATTAAATCTGGGACAGGGATGTGTGTGGGGAGCTGTGGGAATGGCCGGATGCCTGGGTTCGGAGGGTAATGAAGGTTCTGGGAGGAGGAAAAGGGCCGTGGCTGGGAGGTGCAGCAAGGCTGAGGCTCGAGGTCACAACTCTTCTGCCCTTTCCTTTGGGATGTACACGGTCTTGCAACCCTGGCTGTTTCTCTAGCCCCGAAGAGCCCCTGGGGAAAAGACCCCCATCATAGCTAGCTGTGGTTGCCCCGCCTTCGTCCCTTCCCCCTACCTCCACCTCTGTTGATGAGCTTCAGCAGCGTTTAATCGGATTGAGCAGTAATTAGCAAAGCGAGATGTTTGATTACCTATTTAGCATAATGTGGGGGGCTGGGATCCGTAGGCACAGCCACAGTTGGGGAGGGGGGTTTAAGAAAAGAAATGGGGTCTGTGCAAAGTTCCTTTCCCCGAGGGACCCATGAACCTTGCCCCTGAGGCTCCCCACCCCACGCCTCCAGCAAATTTTCACTCCTTTGGGACTTTTCCCTAGGGGTTCTGGCCAACCACATCACCTCTGTCTGCCACCCATGGCCTATCTGGCTAGAGGAACACCTCCACGTTCCATCTTAGCTGTGCTAGCTGTGCAGCTGGTTTTGGGGTGGGCGGTACTCCTCTCCTTCCATTCCTGCTGTCAGCAACAGGAGTCTGGCTGGGCAGGAGGAATTATTGGGGGTCGGGGGGAGGGAAAGGGTTGACACTTCTGGGAATAAAGATACGGTAGGTGGGAGGGTGAGGTCAGCGCTGGGATAGGGTGTGGTTAATCCACTTGCTCTTCAGGAGTACCAGGGACTGCCACTCCTGGTAGTGCCAGGCTGGCATAATGAGATCTGTTAGGTGTGAACGCCAAACAGAAAATGGGGGAACTGAGGTGCCAGCTTCTCTTCTCCTCATCCAGCAAAGAAAATGTCATAAATTTCGCTCCTCATGGAAATGTAATCAGTGGGCTCGCTGCTGGCTTTGTCTTAATTAGGCACTATTGATGGAAACAGGGAGGGCGCCTTCCCATCCCCCCACTCGGCTTCCTCCCTGTATTTCCCAGGTCTCCCCAAAGCTCCTCCCGGCACCAGGTACAGCGGTCTTCCAGGCGCCTTCTAGCAGCCCCGGCCCGCAGCGCCCCCTGGCACCCTCGGAGATGTACCCCGGCCCTCATAGCCCTCCCCTCTCGCCTCCTCTCTCACGACGCAGCCTTTGTTCCTATGGAGAGCGAAGCCCCTCCCAGGCCCGGTCACCTTCCCCAGGGAGTCCCCGCCTCTCATCCCCCCCAAAAACCAGCGATGCCTTCGAAAGCCAATCCTCAGATTCCCAAAACTCCAGTTCCCGTCTTCCCTCCCTTTCCCCGCCCCGCGCCGCCCCCCCGCAATCCTAGACCCCAATCCGAACTAAGAAGGGGGAAGGAGCAGGAGGGCAAGGGTGCTCCAGGCCCGGTTTTTCCCCCGGATCCAGCTGCACCCACGGCTGCCTGGAAATCCTGGAACGCCTTCTACATCGCGAATATCCCTCGCCGGCCTGGCGCCCGGCGCCATCTGCTGGACCCGTTCCGGCTGGGGCGCACAGACCTGGGCGCGGGGTCGGGCGATTGGGTTCTCCCTGCCTTTTCAATGTCCTGCGGGGCGGTGGCTCACTGTCTCTCGCCCCAGCCCTTCCAGCTGGGTCCTGACACCAGGCCCCCCGCACCCTTCGGCTCGCCAGATGTGGCTACTTTCCTTTAGTCCCGGAGCCTTCAAGCCCTGGGTCCCTGAGGGGTAGACCTGGGCGGGGTGGGGCCGCGAAGCAGGGATCCAGGGCGCCTGCGCGGAGGAGGCGGGCTCCGAGGGGCCGCACACCGGCCACTCGCCCCTCCCTGCCCGGGGTTGCCATGGGGACGCGTGCAGACGCCGGCCCGAGAGGGCTGCGAGGGGCAACTTCTTAGAGTGGCCCATCGGTCGGTCTAGGGAGGGGAGGGTCAGCGTGGCAAGGTGTGTGTCGGGGGCAGAGGGAAGGAGGGAAGGAGTGCTGGGGAGAAGGGGCAGTAGTGTCGGGGTAGGAAGGGACAGTTGTTGGGGAGAAGAGGCAGTTGTGGAGGGAGAGGGAGCAAGGAATATTTGTGTGGGGGAGGGGGAGGAGAAGGGGCAGTTGTGACAGCTGGGGGGGAAGAGCCATTCTGAGGGGAAATTTGCCTGCTGGTAACCAGTTTAAGGATACCAGCTGCTGGTATAAATACTGCTGGATAAATACTGCTGGATTTATACTGCAGGATAAATACTGCTGGCCCCTGCGGTATTTCCTAGTACTAGAGTGAGCCCCGACTTAGCAGAGCAGTTCCTCCTGGGGCCTGCGGTGTGGGATCGCGTGGTGAACCCCACGGTGCATGCGCCTCAGGCTCTAGTTTGAGGCAGGAAAGCGCAGCTTGATGCTTCTCTGGAGACTGATGGAGGAAGCCTCCTTGCTGTAGTTGGTTTTATTGATTTGCTGGCCTAACAGAACGTTTTTCCTTGGAGCAAAGTACAAATCCTTCAAGTTTGAAATTCATAACCTGAGATCAATGCCTGTGGCAGCCTGTGGGGATGAGGAAGGAGAGCCACAGGTGCCGTTAGGCTGCAGCCTAATGAAAAGAGAGTGCCCAGCGCCTCAGACTTTGCGCCTGGGATTCTGAGCACCTGTCCGAGATCCCCGCTTCCTGCCATCCTACCTTTCTGAGAGAGGCACCACTGTGACCTTCCTCGTGCCCCAATTGCTTTTTCCTCATGACACAATTTGAAATTTATGATTGGATGACTTTTGTCCTTCTTTCTTCCAATCTGTTCTCAGGGCATTTTGAGTCAAATAAATGATCCTGACTGATCTTAACCATTAGCACAGAGTTCCTCAGCCAACTCTGCTAAGAGACCTCAGTACACACAAAACAGTGTTCCTGCCCCTCAGGACTTCAAAGCGATAGACCCAGGTGGCAAATACTGTTTTTCTCTGTTTACAGATGTTGCAGATTTTAGTGGGATTGGGAGGAGCATATTTCCATTTAACTTGGGAGGAAAAGAGGTACATAGGAAAATCATCTTGGTTTGCTTGAATGATTGAACAGTGACAAAGGATGGGGGATGTGCACCCCTTCCTTGATCCTCTCTCACTCACTCATGGTCCTGGAGGGTAGAGTGGATGAGGGTTTGGGCAACCACACTTCAGCTTGATAGATCTTTTCCTGATTATCTTATGTTCTCATACCCCGGGGCAGAGATAGAGGTTCTAAATCCTCATTAGTGGGGTGTCTGGCCATCTTTTTTTTTTTTTTTTTTGAGATAGAGTCTCACTCTGTCAGCCAGGCTGGAGTATAGTAGCATGATCTTGGCTCACTGCAGCCTCTACCTCTCGGGTTCAAGAGATTCTCCTGCCTCAGCCTCCCGAGTAGCTGGAATTACAGGCACGCACCACCACTCCTGGCTAATTTTTTGTATTTTTAGTAGAGACGGGGTTTTGCCATGTTGGCCAGGCTGGTCTCGAACTCCTGACCTCAGGTGATCCACCCGGCTCGGCCTCCCAAAATGCTGGGATTACAAGCATGAGCCACCGCACCCAGCCTGGCCATCATCTTTAACTCCCATTTGTTCCTAGTGCCTTGAGGGACTGACTTTGATTTTTAGCCCAGTGCCCCGAAGACAGTAGGATATCCTAGGGAAAAACAGCAAGGCCTCCCAGGCCCCTGTGGAGTACAGAGCCCTTGTGGTTAATGGAGCAGGGTGTGGGTACCACCAGAAAAGATGATCATATTGAGTTTCAGTCAATTTATGAATTCAAAAGGGACTGCTTGTATCAGGGGGCTGGTTCAGGGGTGGTATCTGCTTGTAGACTCTCCACTCCTGTATACCTGTAGGTTTTGCCTGCACGATGTCCAGCAAAGCTGAGAAGAAGCAGCGATTGAGTGGCCGAGGAAGCTCCCAGGCAAGCTGGTCAGGGCGGGCCACTCGGGCTGCTGTGGCCACACAGGAGCAGGGGAATGCCCCGGCTGTCAGTGAGCCAGAGCTGCAGGCTGAGCTCCCCAAGGAGGAGCCTGGTGGGTACTTGCTGGGGCAGAGGATGCTTAGCAATGGAGGGTGGGGAAAGTCAGAGGGGCTTGGAGGCATTTTAGGGCTGGGGAGCAGGCGCTGTTGCTTCTGGGCAGGAAACGGGCTAAGTGACGCCCCCAGCCATGGAGGTTCAGCAGCCCTGCCACTGAGTCCTTTTTTTGTATGTCTTCCTCCTGGCCAGCCTCATCCTTGTTCTTTCTGTCTTAAAATTTCCCACAATATACCAGGAGTTCACCAACCAGTCCTTTCTCTAGCCTCTTCCTCCTTATTTCAAGTGTTCCTGGTTGCTCCTACCCCACTGAAGAGGGTTTGATCTCTTCCTTTTTCCCATTTTCACCCTGGGTGGCAAAACAAATAATGTTTTTCTCCCATTAAGCCCATCACCATGGAGACTCAGCCTGTTTTGCCACCCTTTGAATCCAAAGCCCGGCTGATGCTTTCTACCATCTGTTGAGGGCTGTTCTATCTCCGCCCTCATTTTGGCAGGGACTTGGTAGACTGCGGAGGTTCAGGTTCAGGATGACAGGAAAGAAGTCTAGATCTAGGGAGGAAAGAGTTTAACGAGGCAGCCTCTTGTGGCTTTGACCTGAGGGATTCCTTTCCTGTGGGTGAGCCGGAGCCAGTAAGGTTGGAAGGTTTTTGGTAGTTGTTGCTATTGCTGGGATCTCCCTGAGAGCACTGGTCAGTGTAGACAGGACTATGAGCTAAGTGTAGACCTCCTTCTTTACCTGGAGCTCCTTTACACTGATAGTAGCTTGTGAAATAGAATCCCCTTCTAAAATTAAAGGTTGAGAGGTTAAGCGTGGGCATGGGAGAAAAGTCCCTGGGCCATAAGAACTTGCATTAGGTTCCAGGATCTTAGAAATGTGCAGAATGTATCCTTCTGAGTTCTGAAGTGCTCAGGTGAAAGCAGTTAAAATGGGATTGCTCGCTGCTAGGAGGAGTAGGGGAAGATGGGAGGGAAGACAGTGAGGTTCAGTATGGAGAATCCTCTGGGGAGGTAAGGGAAGGAGCTTTAAAATGAATGTGTTGGCCTTCGAACAGCAAGGATTTCTGCCTCTCCCAGCTCCAAGCTTTCTTTTCTTTCTTTCTTTTTTTTTTTTTTTTTTTTTTGAGACAAATTCTCACTCTGTCTCCCAGCCTGGAGTGCATTGGCATAATCTCAGCTCACTGCAACCTCTGCCTCCCGGGCTCAAGTGATTCTTGTGCCTCAGCCTCCCAAGTAGCTGGGATTACAGGCATACACCACCATGCCCAGCTTATTTTTTTTATTTTTTTGAGACAGAGTCTCTCTCAGTTGCCAAGGCTAGAGTGCAGTGGTGCGATCTCAGTTCACTGCAACCTCCACCTCCTGGGTTCAAGCGATTCTCCTGCCTCAGCCTCCTGAGTAGCTGGGATTACAGGCGTGTGCCACCACACCCGGCTAATTTTTGTATTTTTAGTAGAGATGGGGTTTCACCATGTTGCCCAGGCTGGTCTCGAACTCCTGTCCTCGAGTGATCCACCTGCCTCGGCCTCCCAAAGTGCTGGGATTACAGGCGTGAGCCACCGCACCCAGTCTCCCCTGGCCTAGTTCTTGCCTGGAACCTGAATGCCAGCAGTTTTCCCAAGGGAGTTGGATCATCTCACCTACTCACCTACTACTAAGCTCCGGAATCGCCTGTTCCATCTTTTCACGCCTTCCTGCCTCGGCCTCTGTGCCTCATTCCCCTCTTAGTTTTCCTTTCTGGAAGCCAGAGGGAGTTTCCTGTTCCTCATGGTCTTTTGGTTATATCTCATTTGTTCCTTCCTCCTTTCAGCCCCTGGGGAATGGGAAAGCCACCAGTTTTACTCCAATCTCCTGTGTGACTAGTAGATCAGGAGGCAGAGAAACAGAGCCGCTGGGTTTTATGGGAGTCAGAGTGGGTGTGGCAGAACTGAATGCTCAGCAGGCCAGTGGTTTGGAGAAGGGCTGATTCCTATGAGCCCCAACTTCTCCATGTGGGAAGAGGAGTGGGGGAAGATGGAGGGCCAGAAGCTGTATGCCTGGAATAACCTCAGTACTAACCGCCTTCATTCCCTCACCCCTACCCCAGTTAGTGTTTGTTTTATTTTTATTTTTTGGAGACAGAATCTTGCCCTGTCACCCAGGCTGGAGTGCAATGGCGTGATCTCGGCTCACTGCGACCTCTGCCTCCCGGATTCAAGCAATCCTCCTGCCTCAGCCTCCCGAGTAGCTGGAATTACAGGCACCCGCCACCATGCCTGGCTAATTTTTTGTATTTTTATAGAGACGGGGGGGGGGGTTCACCATCTTGGCCAGGCTGGTCTCGAACGCCTGACTTCGGGCGATCCACCAGCCTCAGCCTCCCAAAGTGCTGGGATTACAGGTATGAGCCATCGTGCCCGGCCCCCAGTCAGCTTTTTACATTAAATTGACAGAGAATTCACTGACTCTAAAATTTACCTTTTTAAAGTCTACAGTTCAGTGGTTTTTGGTATATTCACAAAGCTGTGCAACGTTCCCACTATCTAATTTTAGAACATTTTTATCCCGCCAAAAGAAAGCCACTTTAAGCACCTTGAGAAATTGGCACCAGGTGACTCCTATATCTTTACTTGTAAGTTGCATCAGAGCCTCGTCTTTTAGCAGTCACTCCTGATTCCCCCTTCCCCCGCAGATCCCAGGAACCGCTCATCTATTTTCTGTCTTTATGGATTTGCCTATGCTGGACATTTCATCGAGTGGTCTCTCATGACTGGCTTTTTTCACTTGGCACTGTGTTTTCGAGGATCATCCATGTTGTAGCATGAACCACACCGCCATGCCTTCTGATGGCTGAATAATAGCCCACTGCATGTTTATATCACCTTTTGTTTATCCATTCCTCTGTTAGAAGACACTGAGCTGTTGCCACCTTTTGCCTATTGTGAATAATGCTGCTACGAATGCTGTAATGCAAATCTCTCTTTGAGTCCTTGCTTTCAAGGTCTCTACCTAGAAGTGGAATTGCTGGGTCATTGGGTGGCTGTGTTTAGCTTTCTTTCTTTTCTTTCTTTTCTTTTCTTTCCTTTTTTTTTTTTTTTTTTTTTTGAGACAGAGTCTTCGCTCTGTTGCCCAGGCTGGAGTGCAGTGGCGCAATCTCGGCTCACTACAAGCTCCGCCTCCCAGGTTCACGCCATTCTCCTGCCTCAGCCTCCAGAGTAGCTGGGACTACAGGCTCCCACCAGCACATCTGGCTAATTTTTTGTATTTTTTAGTAGAGACGGGGTTTCACCGTATTAGTCAGGATGGTCTTGATCTCCTGACCTCATGATCCGCCCGCCTTGGCCTCCCAAAGTGCTGGGATTACAGGTGTGAGCCACTGTACCCGGCTTTTTTTTTTTTTTTTTTTTTTGAGACAGGGTCTCACTCTGTCACTCAGGCTGGAGGGCAGTGGCACGATTATGGCTCACTGCAACCTCTGCCTCCTGGGTTCAGGTGATTCTCCTGCCTCAGCCTCCCAAGTAGCTGGAATTACAGACACCCGCCACCACACCTGGCTAATTTTGTATTTTTAGTAGAGACGGGGTTTCACTATATTGGCCAGGCTGGTCTCAAACTCCTGACCTCAGGTGATCCTCCCGCCTAGTACTCCCAAAGTGCTAGGACTACAGGTGTGAGCCACCGCGCCCAGCTGACTGTGTTTAACTTTCCAAGAAATGCCTTCCTTTTTGTATGTTTATTCTTCCTAGAGCCACGGTTGGAGGGACCTCAAGCACAGAGTGAAGAATCAGTGGAGCCCGAGGCAGATGTGGTAGGCTTGGGTCTTCCCTGTGGCAGATATTCCTCCCCCAAAACTGGTGAATCAAAGGATCAGTTGTGGATGGCACATGAGGAATTCTCTCTTGTCTGCCACTTCTTCTACTTGCTCTCTGCTGTTAGCCTACTCACCACAAATCCAGTTCACTGAGTAAAAGACAAAGTCATCTGTGCCTTCGCCAGGACAGAGGAGGGCTTTAAGTAAGGCGCAGGTCTCTCTTGTCTCCCCACCTTGGGTCAAACTGTGATGAGCTTATTCATCATGCGGGTGAACACCTGAACAAGTTGAATGAGCTGGGAAGATATTGTCCTAATTGGATACTAATTTCTAAGACATGCTCTTTCCACCTTTCCTTCAGTTCTTTCCTTTGGCTGAAGAATTTACAGAAGCTGCTTCAGTCACTTTGAGAAATGGCACTAAATGACCTCTGCTTCTTTATTTCCAAGTTGCATCAAAGCCTAGTCATGACCATAGTTACCTGGGTGAGAAGAATAGAGTGATGACCTTGACATTTTTCAAAAAGGGAAAGAAAAGTAATAACTATCGAAGAAAAAAATGGCAAGAGACAGAAAAGTAAAATAGAGAAAATAAGACTCATGGTGTTACTGCCCAAACACATTTAATATTAATATTTGATATGTCTGGCCAGACACGGTGGCTCAAGCCTGTAATCCCGCACTTTAGGATGCCGAGGTGGGTGGATCACCTGAGGTCAGGATTTGAGACCAGCCTGGCCAACATAGTGAAACCCCATCTTTACTAAAAATACAAAAATTAGCAGGGTGTGGTGGCGGATGCCTGTAATCCCAGCTACTCGCCAGGCTGAGACAGGAGAATTGCTTGAACCCGAGGGCAGAGGTTGCAGTGAGCCAAGATCGTGCCACTGTACTCCAGTCTGGGCAATAAGAGCAAAACTCTGTCTCAAAACAAACGAACAAACAAAACCCAAAAAAACAAAAAAACAATATTTTGATATATCTTTTACTTTTGTGCACAGGTTTGTAAGTTTGTTTGTTTTTGTATAATCCTAACTTTATCATATGTTACTTTTTTTTTTTTTTTCTGAGATGGAGTCTTGCTTCCGTCGAGCAGGCTGGAGTGCAGTGGCATGATCTTGGCTTACTGCAGTCTCCACCTCTGGGGTTCAAGTGATTCTCCCTCCTTAGCCTCCCAAGTAGCTGGGATTACAGGCATGCACCACCACGCCCAGCTAATTTTTGTATTTTTAGTAGAGGCGGGGTTTTGTCATATCGGCCAGGCTGGCCTCAAACTCCTGACTTCAGCTGATCCACCTGCCTCGGCCTCCCAAAGTGCTAGGATTACAGGTGTCAGCCACCGTGCCTAGCCCATATGTTATGATTTTGTATTAAACCTTTTCACAAAACATTTTATTTGTATTATTATTATTTTTTGAGACAGAGTCTTGGTCTGTTGCCCAGGCTGGAGTGCAGTGGCACGATCTGGGCTCACTGCAATCTCCGCCTCCCAGGCTCAAGTGATTCTCATGTCTCGGCCTCCTGAGTAGCTGGGATTACAGGCACACGCCACCATGCTGGGGTCATTTTTGTATTTTTAGTAGAGACGGGGTTTCATCATGTTGGCCAGGCTGGTCTTGAACTCCTGACCTCTGGTGATCCGCCTACCTCGGCCTCCCAAAGTGCTGGGATTACAGGTGTGAGCCACTGTGCCTGGCCTTCTTTGTTATTTTATTTGTATTTGACTTCAAGTGAATATATATATATATATTTTCTTTTTGAGACAGAGTCTTGCTCTGTTACCCAGGTTGGAGTGCAGTGGCGCGATCTCAGCTCACTGCAACCTCCGCCTCCCGGGCTCAAGCAATTCTCCTGCCTCAGCCTCCCGAGTAGCTGGGATTACAGGTGCATGCCACCATGCCCGGCTGATTTTTGTATTTTTTTTAGTAGAGGCAGGGTTTCACCATGTTGGCCAGGCTGGTCTTGAACTCCTGACCCTGTGATTCGCCCCCACCCCCCACCCCCACTCCGGCCTCCTGAAATGTTGGGATTACAGGCATGAGCCACCACGCCTGGCCAATTTTTTTTTATATTTGCATTTTTAAAAATGACATATCTATGCAGGTCCTTTTGTCTATTTGTTTATTGAGTTTTTAGTGTTTTTCTTATTGGTTCATCCTGTCTATATGTATTATAGGAAAGATTTTAGATCACTATTAATTTTTCTTGACCTGGAAACTTTAAGAGAGATTCCTTCTTCCAGGAGGAAAGATGAAAAGACTTCGCAAGTTCACTGATCTGTATCTTCATATCTTCTGATTTCCTTTATTTATTTGTTTGTTTATTTATTTTTGAGACGGAGTCTTGCTCTGTCGCCCAGGCTGGAGGGCAGTGGTGCAATCTCGGGTCACTGCAACCTCTGCCTCCCGGGTTCAAGAAATTGTCCTACCTCAGCCTCCCAAGTAGCTGGGATTACAGGAACCCACCACCATGCCTGGCTGATTTTTGTATTTTTAGTAGAGATGGGGTTTCACCATGTTGGCCAGGCTGGTCTTGAATGCCTGACCTCAGGTGATCCACCCGCCTTGGCCTCCCAAAGCGCTAGGATTACAGGCATGAGCCACCATACCCAGCTAATTTTTTTTTTTTTTGAGACAGATTCTCACTCTGTTACCCAGGCTGGAGTGCAGGGGTGTGATCTCGGCTCACTGCAATCTCTGACTCCTGGGTTCAAGCGATTCTCCTGCCGCAGCTTCCCGAGTAGCTGGGATTACAGGCATGCACCACCACGCCCGGCTAATTTTGTATTTTTAGTAGAGACAAGGTTTCTCCATGTTGGTCAGGCTGGTCTCGAACTCCCGACCTCAGGTGATCCACTTGCCTCGGCCTCCCAAAGTGCTGGGATTATAGATGTGAGCCACCGCGCCCAGCCCTCTTTGGTGTTTTTGTGTCTTTTTCCCTCCTCACTTTTTCCTTAATGTTGTACCAATTGACTTTTACCTAGTATTTTACACTTCTTTTGGACTCCATCGTGAAGAAATTGCTCCTATACCCTCTCCCTTTTCCAGCTTGTGGTCTCCCTGCTCCTAATTGCTTGATCTAGGCTAATATCCTACACATTCCCTTAATTCACCTTTACCTTTGAGATCGAGGGCTGACATTTTTAAAAACTACAGGCATAAAGATAATCTCTTGCATTGGGTGGATAATATCCCAGTTTTCCTCTGTGATCTGTTTGTTTGTTTGTTTGTTTGTTTTATTACTCTTAGAGGCAAGAAATCTTATTTTTCTGTTTCTTCCAAAGCTGGAAAGCTATCTTTCAGTTTCTCCTAACCATTCTGAACCTGTCTGGCTTCTCTCATCTCCCATGTCCTCACTTGTGATTGTGGATGGGAGGAATGACTCATCCTGGCAGTTGTAGTTACTTTGGCCCTCTGCTCTCCTTCTGTAGAAGCCCCTCTTCCTTTCCCGAGCTGCGCTGACAGGACTGGCGGATGCAGTGTGGACACAGGAGCATGATGCCATTCTGGAACACTTTGCCCAGGACCCTACAGAATCCATCCTCACCATCTTCATTGACCCTTGTTTTGGGCTGAAGCTAGAGCTGGGCATGCCTGTACAGGTGCGTACCCTACATTCCCAGATCAAAGGTGGTCCTACAGAGAGCCGAGGGCTCTCAGTTCCTTCATCATCCTTAAGTCTTGTCATCTCCTGTGCCCACGGCCTATTGAGCCCCACTGTGTCAGGCACCCTACTTGGTGGCAAGGATAGGAAGAAGGATGACGCAAGAACGCTGTCATGGGCTGGGCGCGGTGGCTCACGCCTGTAATCCCATCACTTTGGGAGGCCGAGGCGGGTGGGCGGATCATGAGGTCAGGAGATCGGGAACATCCTGGCCAACATGGTGAAACCCCATCTCTACTAAAAATACAAAAATTAGCCAGACGTGGTGGTGCACACCTGTAATCCCAGCTACTTGGGAGGCTGAGGCAGAAGAATCGCTTGAACCTGGGAGGCGGAGGTTTCAGTGAGCCAAGATCATGCCACTGCACTCCAGCCTGGTGACAGAGAAAGACTCTGTCTCAAAAAAAAAAAAAAAAAAAAAAAAGAATGTTGTCCTGGTCTAGTGGGGAAGACAGACATATAAGCAAATATTTACTATAGTTTGTGATCATGGGCAAAGCTTTATAGGAGCGTTATGGGAGCAACTAATGGAGCCAGTGGAATTCTGGGAAGCCTTGATGGTGGAGGTGCTATTTGAGCTGGGATGAAGGGTAAGTGGGATTCCATCAAGACTAGGTAAGAGCTATTCAGCAAAGACCACTCTACGTACAAAGAAAAGAGAAGTAGTGGGAAGTGATACTGAAAGGGGCTTGGGGTCAGCTTATGAAGGGCCTTGTATATTATACTCGAGAATTTGGCCGCTATCCCAGAGAGTGCTATTGAAGTCTTTTATAGTTTAGATAGATAACTATTTCAACAGTGTGGAGAATACATTAGACAAGGGTAGACCTAGGGTAGGGAGACAGTTAAAAGACAGATGGATAGTAAAATGTTGCTGGTAGAATCTGGGTGGTGGTCATACAGGTCATCACTGTAAAATTCTTTGAACTTTTCTGTATATATCTTTGAAAATTTTGGAAAAAAAATGTTGGAAAACTTAAAAGGCTGTTGCTTTGCTCATATTGGCGGCACATATACAAAAGTGGAAAGGATGAGATTGATTGGCATGGCCCTGTGAAACAATGACGCAATTTGTGAAGCATTCTGCGTTGAACATGGGCAGAAGAACTTTTGCCCTGTGCACTGGCAGTAATCAGCCACAAAACAATGAAAAAAGATTTCATTCGCAAAAGGAACCACAATTTGCAAAATATATTTATATTTGAATATACATTTTAATATAAAAGTATGATTTATATGAAGGAAAACAACTTTGTTGCAGGCCGTGAAAAACGATTTGAAGAAATGAGGAGCCACAGCTTGTTTCGGAGTAGGAATCTTAATATCATAAAGATCATTTTATATAAAAAAGTATCATATTTGGCTCATGCCTGTAATCCTAGCACTTCGGGAGGCCGAGGCAGGCTGATCGCTTGAGCCTAGGAGTTCGAGACCAGCCTGGGTAACATAGTGCAACCCCATCTCTACAAAAAACACAAAAATTAGCCAGGCATGATGGTGCACACCTGTAGTCCCAGCTACTTGGGAGGCTGAGGTGGGAGGATCACTTGAGCCTGGGAGGTGGAGGTTGCAGTGAGGTGTGATCACTTCACTGCACTCCAGCCTGGGTGACAGAGTGAGACCCTGTCTCAAAAAAAAATACAAAAACAAAAAACAAAAGGGCCAGTTGAAACTTCCTTTAAAAATTATTACCCTTGAATACCTGATAAAATGAGCAAAAAGTAAAACTACCGAAAAATTAAAAAAACCAAACCAACCAAAAAAACACAAAAAAACCCTGAGAGTAAGCAAATTTAATCTAATACACTTTAAAAATGGGAGACCAATGAAAAACATATGCACTGAGTCAAAGAATGGTGCTCCCCTGGTTACATGGAGTGAACTTGAGAGGGTGTAATAAAATCTTAGTAAAGAGAAAGACAGGCCTGTGCCTTTAGTCCCAGCTACTGTGGAGGCTGAAGCCAAAGGATTACTTGAGCCCAGGAGTTCGAATCAATCCTGGGCAACATAGCAAGACCGCCATCTCCAAAAAGAAAAAAAAAAAAAGAGAGAGAGAGAGAGGAGGAGCCTAGGTTTGTTTGTTTGTTTGTTTTGAGACGGAGTTTTGCTCTTGTTGCCCAGCCTGGAGTGCAATGGCGCAATCTCGGCTCACTGCAACCTCTGCCTTCTGGGTTCAAGCGATTCTCCTGCCTCAGCCTCCCGAGTATATGGGATTACAGGCATGTACCACCACACCAGGCTAATTTTGTATTTTTAGTAGAGATGGGGTTTCTCCATGTTGGTCAGGCTGGTCTCAAACTCCCAACCTCAGGTGATCCACCTGCCTCGGCCTCCGAAAGTGCTGGGATTACAGGTGTGAGCCACCACACCCGGCTTGAGCCGAGGTGTTTTAACAAAGATTTTTCACTGCCTTAAATGAGCACTAACCACCTGTCCATTTCCCTGAGGCAATTCTCTTAGGCCAAAGAAAAGTGAATAAAACATAAAACACCCAACCCTTTCACTTTAACTTCCAGGGGCAAAAATAAACTGGTCTCTCACAGTGGGAGGTCAAATCACCCACAGTACATTAGAGCAAAAAGAATGAGTTCACATGCTTGCTGCCCAAGCACGAGCAAAATGAAAAGAAATTGCATGGTAACTGCAAGTGCATTACATCAAAGAAAAAAGAGGAACAAAGCATGCAAAAGAGGAAAACATAACTGAATGAACAGGAGGAGATTCCTCACAACAGTACCATGTTCTACCACAACTTAATAAGACCAGGGATTCAATTAAAAAAAAAAAAAAAAGCTGAGCCCTGAAATGATAAAATGTGAGAATAAGATAAAAGGGAGACTGCAGATTTTAGGAAATGAATAAAGCAGCATGTTATAAAACCAGTAGATTGGAAATAGCAAGGAACTGAATAGCTAACCCAGAAAATCCTATCACTGACAGAGGAGAGGCTTGAGGTAATCACCGTGTATGCAGAAGAAAAAGCCAAGGACATTAACACAATTAGAGAAGCTAACAGATACGAAAGACTAACATAGATGATCTTGTATAGAGAGCCAACAAATGAAACAATATAAATGTAAAGATAAAATACAAGTAATTTCCCTGAAATGCAGAAGGAACTGAATCTGGGAATCAAAAAGGACACACTGTATTCCACAAAATTTGTTGCACATCTTGGCTAAGCTACTCAATTGTAGGAAAAATTAATTCCTTAGGAATATCCCCTATGCGGTAATCCTGCTAAGAATATTTAACTTGAATCTGGCAATAAGGAGACAATCCAATAAATCCAAATTAAGAGACATATTGGGAAAAGAAAACTGGCCTGGACTATTAGAAATATCAATGCCATGAGACAATCGCTTGAACCCGGGAGGCGGAGATTGCAGCAAGCCAAGATTGTGCCACTGCACTCCAGCCTGGGTGACAGAGCGAGAGTCTGTCTCAAAAAAAAAAAATTTAAAATTTAAAAAGCATGAGCTGGGCACGGTGGCTCACGCCTGTAATCCTAGCACTTTGGGAGGCCAAGGCGGGTGGATTGCCTGAGCTCAGGAGTTTAAGACCAGCCTGGGCAACATAGTGAAACCCTGTCTCTACTAAAAATACAAAAAAAATTAGCTGGGCGTGGCGGTGTGCACCTGTAATCCCAGCTACTTGGGAGGCTGAGGCAGGAGAATCGCTTGAACCAGGGAGGCAGAGGTTGCAGTGAGCCAAGATCACGCCATTGCACTCAAGCCTGGGCAACAGAGTGAGACTGTGTCTCAGATAAATAAATAAATTAATTAAATTAAATTAAATTAAATTAAAAAGAAAAAGAAAATCAATGCCATGAAAGAAAAAGGTTGGGGAGTGCTTTAAAATTAAAGGATACTAAGAGACATGACCATGTGTGATCTTGGATTAGATTCTGGATTGGGTCTTTCAAAGCAGTGAGCTAATAGAACTCAAAATTGAAAGTTAGTGAGAAAACTCATAATATTTTTCATAATCTTTTTTTCTTACCACCATAGAAAGGGATCCTTTGGGAAGAAACCTCTCTTCTGGATGAAGAAACATTTATTTGAAGCTCAGGAATTCCTTTATAGCTACTTCTATTTCTTTTTATTTGCTTAAATTCAAGTAAAATTAAATTTAATAGTTTTAATTAAAAACAGCTTGCTCCTATTTAAAAATAATGATTTTAATTTAATTTTCTATATGTATATAGCTATAGAAAAATATGTAGAATAATGTTTTCTCTAATATTAACAATATTAATTTTTAGGTGGTGGAATTTTAGATGACATTTTAACTTTTATCTTTGTAGTTTTCTGCATTGTTTCAATTATTTATATTTAACGTATGTCATCTTCACAAAAATAATAGTTGTTAAACTTTTAAAAAAATGGACATGGCCGGGCACAGTGGCTCACGCCTATAATCCTAGCACTTTGGGAGGCCGAGGCAGGCGGATCACCTAAGGTCAGGAGTTTGAGACCAGCCTGACCAACATGGAGAAACCCTGTTTCTACTAAAAATACAAAAATTAGCCGGGCGTGGTGGCACATGCTTGTAATCCTAGCTACTCGGGAGGCTGAGGCAGGAGAATCGCTTGAACCCGGGAGGCGGAAGTTGTGGTGAGCTGAGATCATGCCATCGCGTTCCAGCCTGGGCAACAACAGCGAAACTTCGTCTCAAAAAAAAAAAAAAAAAGGACACAAAATGCCAATATTTATTTTATTTCTGGGTAGTAAGAAGACAGATGATTATTAATTTCTTCCTTGTGCTTTACTTTGTTTTTAAAATTAAATAAATTGTCAGCCGGGTATGGTGGCTCGCGCTTGTAATCCCAGCGCTTTGGGAGGCCGAGGCAGATGGATCATCTGAGGTCAGGAGTTTGAGACCAGCCTGGCCAACCTGGTGAAACCCCGTCTCTACTAAAAATATATAAATTAGCCAGGTGTGGTGGTACGGGCCTGTAATCCCAGATACTCGGGAGGCTGAGGCAGAAGAATCGCTTGAACCCGGGGGGCGGAGATTGCAGTGAGCTGAGATTGCACCATTGCACTCCAGCCTGAGTGACAAAGCAAGACTCCATCTCAAAAAAAAAAAAAAAAAAAAAAAATTGCCAAGACTAGTCAAAAAAGCACTAAAAAACCCAAACGAAACAGGTGAGTCTGATATTAGGGTGGAAATGGCCTTTCTAAATATGTAGCAGTCAGAACTTTAAGGAATTTTATATTTAATTACATGAAAGATATATGCTTTTGTACGTAAACCACAAAAGCCATAAGCAAAATTGAAGCATATGTGTAAAATTTTGGGAGAAATATATGCAACCAAAATGGAAAACCCTAGACAATTGTCTCTTCCTTCCAGTCCTTCTCCTTTCTGCTTTTTCCATTGGCTGAAGTGCTTCCTCCATTCCATCCTTTCTTTCTATCGATCCGTTCATCCATCCAACAAACATTATTGAGCATCTACTCTATGCCAGGCAGTGTACTAGGTTCTGGAGCCTAGTTGGACAAAATGTACAGTCCCTACTCTCAAGGCATACTCTCTGCATTTCCTCCCCACATCTCTGGATATGGAATCATATCCGTGAAAAGAACAGGAAGCACTTCATGGCACTTCCATTTAGAGAAGGATCAGGATACCCTGAGGGACGTGAGAAAGAACTCAGCCGGGCTTTTGTGACTGGGTGTCATGGCTGGGCCTGGAGACTGAACTCTGATCTGCTGTCTTCCATGCAGACCCAGAACCAGCTTGTCTACTTCATTCGCCAAGCACCAGTTCCCATCACCTGGGAGAACTTCGAGGCAACTGTGCAGTTTGGGACGGTGCGGGGCCCCTATATCCCGGCCCTGCTTCGGCTGCTCGGTGGAGTCTTTGCCCCTCAGATCTTTGCAAACACAGGCTGGCCTGAGAGCATTAGAAATCATTTTGCTTCTCATCTGCACAAGTTCTTGGCCTGCCTGACAGGTAAGTGGGAAGACCGGAGTGACTAGTTTCTCCTTAGTGTCCCCCAACTGTACAACTAGTGAAGTGGTGGGTCCTTCGTCTGAGCACCTGTGTGGAGGAGGAAGTATTCAGCATGCTTATCGAATTGGTAGAATAGGGTACAAGATCCGCCTTCTTCTTCTTTTTTTTTTTTTTTTTTTTGAGATGGAGTCTCACCCTGTTGCCCAGGCTGGAGTGCAATGGCGCGATCTTGGCTCACTGCAACCTCTGCCTCCTGGGTTCAAGCAATTCTCCTGCCTCAGACTCTCGAGTAGCTGGGATTACAGGCACATGCCACCACGCCTGGCTAATTTTTTGTATCTTTAGTAGAGATGGGGTTTCACCATGTTGGCCAGGCTGGTCTCGAACTCCTGACCTCATGATCCACCCGCCTTGGCCGCCCAAAGTGCTGGGATTACAGGTGTGAGCCACCACACCCTGCCAAGATCCGCTTTCTAATCCAGACACACTTTTCTGTTGTGGAACTTGTTGGCCAGACCTGCTTCAACTTAGACTTGGAAATTTCTAAAAGCACATGTGGGGGAAAGGGAAATATAGGTGCTGTGGGGACACTGGGAGGACTCACATGTCTCGTGGTAGAGAGTGTTGAAGGCGCGATACAGATCTTTGACCTTATTTTATGGCAATTTCTTGTTATAACTCCATGAGGTTTCCCTCTTGCCTTTGGTCATTTCTTGATATCAAAAAAGCATGAGTCACCATTTCTTCTACCTGCTCTCCTGAAATGCATATGCTTCCTGGTCCCCTACCGATCATCAACCGTGATTCCTACGGGGCCAGCAAGAACTCATCCCCTCTGTCCACTTCCACAAACTTTCCTTTCCTTAGACACTCGGTACAAACTGGAGGGGCACACGGTCCTCTACATCCCTGCAGAGGCCATGAACATGAAGCCTGAGATGGTGATAAAGGACAAAGAGCTGGTGCAACGGCTAGAGAGTGAGTGGCTGGCACTGCTAGCATCACCTGGCGATCACAGGGGAGAGGGAAAGGGGAGGCTCGGATGCTGACAATGGAGTTGGGTTAGGAGGTCTCTGTCGGGGTTGCGGGGAGTGAAGGATGCTGTTGGGAAGCAGTGTGAAGAAACGAAGGAGATTTTGTACTCTCCCCTGCAGCCTCCATGATCCACTGGACCCGGCAGATAAAGGAGATGCTCAGTGCCCAGGAGACTGTGGAGACAGGAGAAAATTTAGGTCCTCTGGAGGAGATTGAGTTCTGGCGCAACCGATGCATGGACCTGTCTGGCATCAGTAAGCAGCTGGTGAAGAAGGGAGTGAAGCACGTTGAATCCATCCTGCACCTTGCCAAGTCGTCCTACTTGGCGCCCTTTATGAAACTGGCACAGCAGATCCAGGTTTGTGAGCGAATCAAAGGATTCAGGCTCAGCAAGAAGTGGGCAATGGTTGGGATGATACAGGGAGCTAAGTAAGGAGAGGGAGCCAAGGCAATCTTCGATAGCACAGACTGACCCACCCAGGGTTCGGCCTTGTACTTGCAGGAGAGTATAAAATAGTAGAATAGAGGGTCCCTAAGGAGAGAGACATCAAGTTAACCAATAAATATACATCAAGTACCTTCTGTGAGCACAACCCCTGCCACCCAGCTGGGAAAATAAGATTACCCAAAACAGGATTACTAGACAGCGTGGGAGCCAAAGATGAGCTCATGTGGTTCAGTCCAGGAATTACAAGATAAATACCTTTTTTCTTTGTTTGAATCTGCCTTCCAAGGAAAATCCAAGGAAAAGGGATAAATACTTTTTTTCTTTTTCTTTTCTTTTTTATTATTATTTTTGAGACAGAGTCTGGCTCTGTTGCCCAGGCTGGAGTGCAGTGGTGCGATCTCAGCTCACTGCAACCTCTGCCTCCCAGGTTCAAGGGATTCTCCTGCCTCAGCCTCCTGAGTAGCTGAGATTACAGGTGCCCGCCACCAAGCCTGGCTAATTTTTGTGTTTTTAGTAGAGACGGGGTTTCACCGTGTTAGTCAGGCTGGTCTCAAATGCCTGACCTCGGTGATCCACCCACCTTGGCCTCCCAAAGTGCTGGGATTATAGGCGTGAGCCACCGCACCTGGCTCTTTTTCTTTTCTTTTCATTTCTTTTTTTTTCCTTTTGAGACAGGGTGCTGGAGGCTGAAGTGCAGTGGCACGATCTCGGCTCACTGCAACCTCTACCTCCTGGGCTCAAGGGATCCTCCCACATCAGCCTCCTGAGTAGCTGGGACTACAGGTGTGCACCAGCATGCCCGGCTAACTGTTGTATTTTTTGTAGAGACAGGATTTTGCTATGTTGCCCAGGCTGGTCTCAAACTCCTGAGCTCAAGTGATCCACCCACTTCAGCCTCCTAAAGTGTTGGGATTACAGGCGTGAGCTACCTCACCCAGCTCAATTGTTAATTTTTTTTATTATTATAATTTTGAGACAGAGTCTTGCTCTGTCGACCAGGCTGGAGTGCAGTAGCGCGATCTCGGCTCACTGCAACCTCTGCCTCCTGGGTTCAAGCGATTCTCCTGCCTCAGCCTCCCGAGTAGCTGAGATTACAGGTGCCCACCACCATGCCTGGCTAGTTTTTGTATTTTTAGTAAAGACGGAGTTTCATCATGTTGGCCAGGCTGGTCTCGAACTCCTGACCTCAGGTGATCCACCCGCCTCGGCCTCACAAAGTGCTGGGATTACAGGTGTCAGCCACCTCGCCCGGCCTAATTTTTAAATTTTTTGTAGAGACAGGATCTCACTATGTTGTCCAGGCTGGTCTCAAACTCCTGGTGATCCTCGGCCTCCCAAAGTGTTGAGATTATAGGTGTGAGCCACCACACCTGGGCAATAAACATTAAAAAAAAATTTGATATGATGTGACAGGCTGATTATGTTAGTGCTAGGTCACACAGGAGGTAAGAGTGGCCTGTAGAATACAGATAGAAGACCTGTCTTCCTAGGTGAAAATTTCAGCTGGGCATTAAGGGAATTGAGCCAGAACTAACTGGAGGAGCCTAAAGCCCTGGCTGAGAACAGGGCAGTGAAAGGGAACTGGGTGACAACTATGGGGACGAATGAGAGTGATATGCGGCCAGTTGATCCGACAGCAACAGAGTATCCACTTAGTGCGGAGTCCTGAATTCAACTGGAGAAAACAGACACAAAATCTAGAAAAATCTAGACTCGAGGGAATTCTTAGTCTGGTAGGGGAGCTAGGGCACACACATGAGAAAAGAAAAGTTGACATGTGCTAACTCTGGTCCGAAGGCTCACAGAGACCTGAAATGATCGCTACTGTGTAGGGCTGATGGGAGGGATTCCTCTTAGAGGCAAGTCAGAATGGGGTTGAAGATGGTTAAAAAGCACTTGTGGGCTGGGCGTGGTGGCTCACGCCTGTAATCCCAGCACTTTGGGAGGCTGAGGCAGGTGGATTACTCAAAGTCAGGAGTTCGAGACCAGTCTGGCCAACATGGTGAAACCCCATCTCTACTAAAAATACAAAAATTAGCTGGGCGTTGTGGTGGGCACCTGTAATCCCAGCTACTTGGGAGGCTGAGGCAGGAGAATTGCTTGAACCTGGCAGGCGGAGGTTGCAGTGAGCTGAGATCGCGCCATTGCACTCCAGCCCGGGTGACAAGAGTAAAACTCCATCTAAAATAAATAAATAAATAAAAGCACTTGTGTTGAATCAGTGCTTTCTAGTGCATAAATCTATTTCTCATCTCTCTTTACTGCCAGGATGGCTCTCGTCAAGCACAGTCAAACCTGACCTTTTTGTCAATCCTGAAGGAACCTTACCAGGAGTTGGCTTTCATGAAGCCCAAGGACATCTCTAGCAAGCTCCCTAAGCTGATCAGTCTCATCCGCATCATCTGGGTCAACTCTCCCCACTACAACACTCGGGAGAGACTGACCTCGCTCTTCCGAAAGGTGTGCATATGCTGAGGGTGGGATGGAGGGGTTTATGAGGGTGGCCGGGTTTTCTGAAGCAGGGGGAATGCATTCGGCAGAGGATCTGTGGTTGAAAAGGTAGTGAAGATTGCCCTTCTGCTCAGAGACTGAGCTCAGAAGGCTTCTACCGGCATGATCTGCTTTAGGGTTGCTCAGCATTGGAGCCTGGGCTGGACTTTCTGTTTCTAGGTGGAGGTGGCTTAGGCAGGAAGAGGGGCTTCAGAAGAGGAGTTGGTGGAAGACGGGGAAGCAGCAGGAAGAACAGACCCCCAAGCTGAGCTGTGTGGAAGGAAAAGCTCTTCTTCCCATTCCTCAAGATGGAGATTGCAGTGGGGGAGAGGGGATTTAGGAAGGAGCACCGGCTCTTGAGGAGCAGGGCCTGGTGCATTCACTGGGGGTGAAAAAGCCAAAGAGTGGGAGAAGGGACACTGAGCTGAGACCTTGCTGGGCAGGGTGGCTGCAGAGCTGGGCTGAGGCAGAGTAAGGGGCCACCTAGGACAAGGAGTGGGCATGGAACCCAGAGGTGTCGGCCTGGCCAGGGGTGGAGAACCAGGGGTGGGATGAGTTTCAGGAGTCAAATTAAGGAGTAGGGGGCTGAGACATGAAGCACGGGCAGGGGGATGCAGAGAAGGAGTTGGGTGTCAAGGAGGTGGGGACAGAGGCTGTGGGGACTCCTTCTGCAGATGAGCAATGAGATCATCCGCTTATGCTGCCACGCCATCTCCCTGGACCGGATCTTTGAGGGATATGTCTCTTCCAGCAAGGAGGACCTGCAAGGCTGCATTCTCTGTTGTCACGCTTGGAAAGATCACTACGTACAGGCTGTGCAGATGCACATCCAGTATGATACGCCTCCCCTAACATCCCATGTCTCAACTCCCTTGTCAGCCCTGTAAGAGGGTAGATTCTGACTTCTTTCCTGTACACTTTGTTTAGCCTCTTGGTTGTATTTTCCGAGACCCAGGAGTTTCTACATCTGGCCAAATTTTCTGTCTGGATACAGATACTGTATCTCATTGCCCTGGCTTCTCCTTTTTTGTTTTTTAATTTTAATTTTAATTTTTTTTTGAGACAGAGTCTTGGTCTGCCACCCAGGCTGGAGTGCAGTGGCGCGATCTCAGCTCACTGCAAGCTCAGCCTCCGAGGTTCATGCCATTCTCCTGCCTCAGCCTCCCCAGTAGCTGGGACTACAGGTGCCCGCCACCATGCCAGGCTAATTTTTTGTATTTTTAGTAGAGACAGGGTTTCACCGTGTTAGCCAGGGTGGTCTCGATCTCCTGACCTTGTGATCTGCTCGCCTTGGCCTCTCAAAGTGCTGGGATTACAGGCGTGAGCCACCACGCCCTGCCTGGCTTCTTATTTTAATAATCTCTCCTCCCTGATCCCAGGAACCCTACCTGGTCTTTTCCTCCTATCTTGACCCCATCGTCTAAAATTCTATTATGTATGAATCTGCTCCTAGAACTTAGATGCTCTGTCTCCTGTCTGGTTCTTCTCACCTTGAGTCTTGTCCTTTGGGATTCAGGAGGGTTGTTTCTCGGGGTCTGATTTTTCTAGGGCTTTCCCTGAATGCAGGGCTCCTGGTCTAGGTTTGCATAGCCAGACTGCTCTTGCCTTCCAATTCAGTCGGCCTTTCTCCTGACACAGGTTCTCCAGTCGGGGCTGGGTCCTAGATCAGACCAGCATCTTTGCTCAGGTTGATGCCTTTGTGCAGCGCTGCAAGGACCTTATTGAGGTGGGAAGACTGAAGAACCAAAAGCTAACAGCAGACCCTCCAGAATCCCTCCCCACCTCCCACCCCAGGAACCAGGGCAAACGGGGCAGAGGCTAAATATTGAACTTATGGCCAGGCGCGGTGGCTCACGCCTGTAATCCCAGCACTTTGGGAGGCTGAGGCGGGCAGATCACCTGCGATCAGCAGTTCGAGACCAGCCTGGCCAACATGGTGAAACCCCGTCTCTACTAAAAATACAAAAATTAGCCGGGCCTGGTGGTGCATACCTGTAATCCTAGCTGCTTGGGAGGCTGAGGCAGGAGAATCTCTTGAACCCGGGAAGCGGAGGTTGCAGTGAGCCGAGATCATGCCACTGCACTCCAGCCTGGGCAACAGAGAGAGACTCTGTCTCAAAAAAATAAAAGAAAAGAAAATTGCACTTACCACATTGGCTTTTCCTGCACAATTGTGTGTCCTACTACCACACCGCTTTTTCTGGCATTTGCCTCTTATCGCTGCCCTACTATTTCATATTTCATTCTGTGGCCAAAGTTCATCCCAGCAGCCCCCTGCAGCTGGTTGGCCCTCCCTGGTTTTTAGATATTTTCTTCTTCTTTTTTTTTTTTTCACTTGCCATCACTCACAGTGATGTTTTTAGACATTTGAAGCTAAACCAAATAGCTTAGGACTTTGGAGTTTGGAAGGAAAGCAGGAACCCTCATGCTGTCTTCTTTTTTAGGTATGTGACTGTCAGTATCACTTCGCCCGCTGGGAAGATGGCAAGCAGGGTCCCCTTCCTTGCTTCTTTGGTGCCCAGGGGCCACAGATAACACGGAACTTGCTGGAGATTGAGGACATCTTTCATAAAAATCTGCACACGCTGCGAGCCGTTCGCGGGGGTATCCTGGATGTCAAGAACACCTGTTGGCATGAAGACTACAATAAGTGAGGGAACCACAGGCTGATGCCAGGCGTGGGCAGGGAAGGCAGATCAGGCAGCCAAGAGTGGGAGGAGTGGCGAGAGTATGCAAAGGAAATGGTGGAAGGACAGATCGGGATCAGGGCGGTGGCCCGGGGGGGGGGACAGGAGAGAGTGCAGGGGAGGGGGGTGGCAGCTTGGGTTGAGGGTTCCAGAGTGAGCCTTTCCGGACTTGGATCTTGGTTCTGCCACATACCAGATATATGACATTGGGCAAATTACTCCACCAGCTGTCTCCACTTCCTCCTCTATGCAATACGGTTAGAGATAGAGCCCATCTCACAGCATTGTTTTGAGGATTAAATGGATTCATGTAGGTAAAGTACTTGGAGTGCCTGGCACACAGGAAGCCCTCTGTCCTCAGCAATGCATGGGATTCTTCCTCAGGGGTTGGAGTTGGGGGCAGGCGAGGGCACTCAGCTGCCACATGCCTCTCCACCGGTGCAGGTTCCGTGCCGGAATCAAGGACCTGGAGGTGATGACCCAGAACCTGATCACCTCAGCCTTCGAGTTGGTGCGGGACGTGCCGCACGGCGTGCTTCTGCTGGACACCTTCCACAGGCTTGCCTCCCGCGAGGTGCGGCTGCCCCGCGGCTTCCTCGGCTTCCCGTCCCGCGTGCTTTCCTGGAGTCCCTCCTTCCGGAGGCCCTCCTGCCTCCACGTGTGCCCTTCTCCATGTCCAGCATTCGGGCGCCTCTTGTCTTTCTTCTGTTCCCTGGCTTCGGCGTCCCCGGGAGTGTGACTCCCGCAGCGGGGTGCAGCTTTCCTCTGGGATGAGTGACCGGAGGGAACCCGCCTTCCCGGGCACGTCGCCAGCCTCTTCCTCTTCTTCCCTAGGCTATCAAGCGGACTTATGACAAGAAGGCGGTGGATCTCTACATGCTGTTCAATAGCGAGCTGGCCCTGGTGAACCGTGAACGGAACAAGAAATGGCCAGACCTGGAGCCCTACGTGGCCCAGTATTCCGGAAAGGCGCGCTGGGTGCACATCCTCCGGCGTCGCATCGACAGAGTCATGACCGTAAGTGCCTGGCCTTCTCCATATTCTGTCGTCAGTGAGACCGCCAGGAGGGATGGGGGATGGCTCCTGAGAGGTTCCCCAAAGAGTCTTCAGGACCAGCACCTATGTCGGTGAGGGGAGTGGCAGGTCCAGTTCAGTGAGGTCAGTCGTGGGTTAAGATCTGCAGAGGTGGTGTGTGAGGCTGGTAGAACATGCGCCATTTTAGGAATTTCTTTTCTTCCTTCCTTTCTTTTTTTTCTCTCTCTCTTTCTTTCTTTCTTTCTTTCTTTCTTTCTTTCTTTCTTTCTTTCTTTCTTTCTTTCTTCCTTCCTTCCCTCCCTCCCTCCCTCCCTCCTTCCTTCCTTCCTTCCTTCCTTCCTTCCTTCCTTTCTTTTTGTTTTTTTGAGACGGAGTCTCACACTGTCGCCCAGGCTGGAGTGCAATGGCTCGATCTCAGCTCACTGCAAGCTCTGCCTCCCGGGTTCACACCATTCTCCTGCCTCAGCCTCCCGAGTAGCTGGGACTACAGGTGCCCGCCACCGCACCCAGCTAATTTTTTTGTATTTTTAGTAGAGATGGGGTTTCACCGTGTTAGCCAGGATGGTCTGAGTCTCCTGACCTCATGATCCACCCACCTGGGCCTCCCAAAGTGCTGGGATTACAGGCGTGAGCCACCGCGCCCGGCTTCTTTTTCTTTTTTCTTTTTTTCTGAGATGGAGTTTTGCTCTTGTTGCCCAGGCTGGAGTGCAGTGGTGTGATCTCGGCTCACCGCAACCTTCGCCTCCCAGGTCCAAGCGATTCTCCTGCCTTAGCCTCTCAGGAGCTGGGATTACAGGCATGCACCACCACGCCCGGCTAATTTTGTATTTTTAGTAGAGAAGAGGTTTCTCCATGTTGGTCAGGCTGGTCTCGAACTCCCGACCTCAGGTGATCCACCCACCTTGGCCTCCCAAATTGCTGGGATTACAGGCATGAGCCACTGCGCCCGGCCTCATTTTAGGAATTTCATATCAGGCTGCAGAGGAGGAATAGGGCCGGTATCTGGGGTGTTGGGTCAGTAGAAGATACAGCCTCATGATCCAGAGACCTGGACAGGTGACACCCTTACAGAGCCTGGTCTCTCTGGAAAGACAGCACAAAGAAACAACAGAAAAACATTGTTTTAAAACTTTCTGGGGCCAGGTGCGGTGGCTCACACCTGTAATCCCAGCACTTTGGGAGGCCAAGGTGGGTGGATCATTTGAAGTTAGGAGTTCATGACCAGTTTGGCCAACATGGTGAGACCCTGTCTCTACTAAAAATACAAAAAGTTAGCCAGGTGTGGTGGCGGGCACCTGTAATCCCAGCTATTTGGGAGGCTAAGGCAGGACAATTGCTTGAACCCTGGAGGCAGAAGTTGCAGTGAGCCGAGATCGCGCCACTGTACTCCAGCCTGGGTGGTGGAGAGAGACTCTGTCACAAACAAACAAAACAAACAAATGAACACACACACCCTTTGGGAATAAAGGTTGAAAGCTGTTGAGGTAGTGACCTGCCATCATGCAGCTGGTGCTGGTAGAGAGTTAGGCAGCCTGCAGATAGCTGGAGGCTGGTTTGGGCCTGGTGGACTACGCCCAGGCTAGGAAGGGCTGATACTGGTTTTCAACCTTGTGCCTCATATCCTGCTCCTTCTGTGACTGACCTTTTTCTCCCAGCTTTTTTTCCTAAACAAATTCTCTGTGCTTCTCTTTCCTCATTTTGACTCCTTTTCTCATTGCGCCTTGGTCTCTTCCTATCACCTTCCTTTTTGACTCTACCTTCCTTCTAAGTTATCAAAACTCAATCCATCTCCATAGCAAGCCTTATGCATATTGTTGGGGTATGTGCGCATGCGCGCATGTGTAGGTCTCAGGGAGATGGTGGCCCCTGGAGGAAGGTGGCAGGCCGACTCCACCCACCTGTTCTTCTTCCCCTCAGTGCCTTGCTGGTGCTCATTTCCTGCCCCGTATTGGGACTGGAAAGGAGAGTGTGCACACCTATCAGCAGATGGTCCAGGCCATTGATGAGCTGGTTCGAAAAACCTTCCAAGAGTGGACATCAAGTCTGGACAAGGATTGCATTCGGCGGTTGGATACCCCATTGCTGCGAATCAGCCAGGAGAAGGCGGGCATGCTGGATGTCAACTTTGACAAGTACAGGAGCCACCTGGCCCCTTTTCCCTATACTCCCCTTCTGCAGCTCTCCCAAGAATTTCACTCCCATCTTTTGACTCCTCTCTTCATTATTCTCTCTCTTTCTCATACAATATGTTTGCTATCGTCATTTTACTTTTTTTTTTCTTCTTTTATTTTTGTCTCTCCCCACCTCCCACCCTGCTATCAACATTTTAATTTTACAACTTATCTTAAAACACAACAAAACAAAACAATGATCGGCCAGGCACGGTGGCTCACACCTGTAATCCCAGCACTTTGGGAGGCTGAGGTGGGCGCATCGCTTGAGCCCAGGAGTTTGAGAACAGCCTGGGCAACATGGCAAAACCCAGTCTCTGCAAAAAATACAAAGATTAGCTGGGCGTGGTGGCACAAGCCTGTAGTCTCAGCTACTTGGGAGGGTGAGGTGGGAGGATCGCCTGAGCCCGGGAGGCAGAGGCTGCAGTGAGCTGAGATCACACCACTACACTCCAGCCTGGGCGACAGAGTGACCCTGCCTCAAAAACAAAAATCAAAAACCACTCCACTATCTGACTAAACCAGTGATGTCGCTGTTCTGCCACTAGATGGCCATAATGGCTCAGCTAAGTCACCCAAACCCTGTCCCTTTCCTGACTGTTGGTGGGGCTGTCAGACCATGCCTTCTTCTACAGCTTCATTGTTATGAAACTGTCATACTATAATTATTTAAAATGTAATTAATCAATTAACTAATTTATTAAAAATATATAGTGAGCACCTTCCATGTGTCAGGAACTGAAATAGGAACAGGCAGGGAATGTACACAACGGCCAAGTCCCTGCCCTCAGGGAGGTTAGGCTGCTGCTTTCTAAGTCAACAGCTCTACTCTTGGAGTGGGGCTTCCTGTCCACATAAGATGCTTTGAGGCTGTGGCTACTAGTGTTGGATTCCACTCATAAAATGTCCATGCTTGAGCCTGGCCAGCATGGCGAAACCCTGTCTCTACTAAAAATACAAAAATTAGCTGGGCATTGTGGCAGGTGCCTATAATCCTAGCTACTTGGGAGGCTGAGGCAGGAAAATCGCTTGAACCCGGGAGGCGGAGGTTGCAGTGAGCCGAGATCACGCCATTGCACTCCAGCCTGGGCGACAGAGTGAGTCTCCGTCTCAAAAAAAAAAAAAAAAAAAAAAAAATGCTTGTGGGGCCAAATGTAGGAGGGGCTTTGCCAGAGAAGTGCTGTGTGGAGACGGAGTCCCAGGGACAGATGAGACTGTGAGTGTTTGTCCTGGGCAGCAAAAGGTGGCCCAACCAGGGGAAGAGGGCACATTCTGGCTGAGAAAGGAAGCAAAAGAACCAGGATGGAGAAGCAGAGCGGAGTGTCAGGTGAGAGGGGTGAGGCAGAGGCATCAGTGAGGAGGACAGGGATGTTGGGAGCTGCAGGGATGAGGAAGCCGTTGAGGAGCAGAGTGTGCACATGGCTAGGTCGAGAGGTTTGAGAAAAGGCTTCGAGTAGTGAGAGTTGTTGGAGATTGGCTTTGCTGAGCTTCCTGGTTTTGTGAGTTATGGCCAAGCACAGCCACGTAAACATTGCCTCATAAATCAACGATAAGATTCTGAAGACTGAGAAACTAGGCCAGAGTTAGCCTAGTTACGCCATTTGCAAGCGCATAATGGGGTTGAACCTGCAAGACACATTCTCCCATCGAGCTGGGTACCCCCAAAGTTATTGTGTCAGGGGAGCCGCACAGATGCCCTTGGTGTTTATGGATATGAGGGCACACAGTTCACCAGCTGTCCTTTTTCTGTGAAATAAGGGATTGTATTCAAATAACAGGATTTCCTTAAACACTAATGATCAATCTTTACATTTCTTTTTTTTTTTTTCTTGAGACAGAGTCTCACTCTGTCGCCCAGGTTGGAGTGCAGTGGCGCAATCTTGGCTCACTGCAACCTCCGCCTCCTGAGTTCAAGCAATTCTCCTGCCTCAGCCTCCCGAGTATCTGGGATTACAGGCGCCCGCCACCACGCCCGGCTAATTTTTGTGTTTTTATTAGAGATGGTGTTTTGCCATGTTGGCCAAGCTGGTCTTAAAATCCTGACCTCAGGTGATCTGGCCACCTCGGCCTCCCAAAGTGCTGGGATTACAGGCATGAGCCACTGTGTCTGGCCAAGTATTTACATTTCAAATATGAGAGAAAACAAAAGTTGAGACAAGAGGTAAAGAAATGCTGTGTGTGTGTAGGAGGTAGGAGAGGATCAGGAAAACTAACTAATAGGTACTAGGCTTAATACCTGGGTGACAAAATCATCTGTACAACACTCTCATGACACAATTTTACCTATATAACAAACCTGCACATGTACCCCTGAACTTGAAATAAAAGTTAAATTTAAAAAAAATGCCATATGTGGCTGGCGCAGTGGCTCATGCCTAGAATCCCAACACTTTGGAAGGCCAAGGCGGGAGGATCGCTTGAGCCCAGGAGTCCAAGATCAGTGGGGGCATAAACAAAAATTAGCCGGGCATAGTGGTGCATGCCTGTAGTCCCAGCTACTCAGGAGGCTGAGGTGGAAGGATTGCTTGAGCCCAGGATATTGAGGCTGCAATGAGCTGTGATCGTGCCACTGCACTCTAGCCTGGGCGACAAAGCCAGACCCTGTCTCAAACAAAAAAAAAAAAAAAAAGAAAAGAAAAAAGAAATGCCATATGTGAGCACTGGTTGGTGGCTACCTCCTTCTACTCGCCAGGGGTCAGCCAGCGAGAGTAGATACAGCATCAACTTCAGTGCTAAACAGTCTCAAGTTCAAACCCTGGAGCATTTTGCCACGTGACCTCAGGCGGGCCATTGAATTTCTCTGAGCCTGAGTTTCCTCATCTACTTAAAAAACCCTTTCCTGGCATTATCGGGCAGCTGATGACTCACGCAAAGGTCCTCACAAAGAATGAACAACCAAGAAGCATTCTTGCCCCCTTCAAAACAATTGCCTCATAAAACTTGATGAAGATAGTATTTTCAAAACAAATGTAGCAGAGTGATGTAACAGTTTTAGTTTTTAAAACATTTTAACCTTTACAAAGGGCTAATATAGGCATACAGTGTAAAATTCAAAAGTCATTCTACAAAAGGATAGAGAATGAAAAGCCTGCTCCTCTGCTGTCCCCTAGGGGACCCAGTTTCACTCTGAAGACAGTCAGTGTTTCAGATTCTTGTATAATATTCCAGGAATAGACATATATGTCTACTTAAGTATCCTTTTTTGCATAAATAGTAGTGTACTATACATATTGTTCTATATATTCCAAGTGCTTTCAAAATGATTAATTTTTCCATTATAAAATTATTGATCATTTTAGAACATTTGCAAAATGCAGAAAAGTAGAATGAAGAAAAAAATACTCCTAAGAATAACCACTTTTAATGATTTGGTATATTTTTATCACTTCCTCCCCACCCTCCATTTCATTTGGTTGTTTTCCTTTAATCTTTTAAATCTTTACTGGGTATTTTAAAATGACAAAAACACTACATGCTCACTGTTAAGAAAAACAAAAGATTAATGCAGAAGTATGTAAAGAAATGGCTGGCATGGTGGCTCATGCCTGTAATCCTAGCACTTTGGGAGGCCAAGGTGGGCAGATCACCTGAGGTCAGGAGTTCAAGACCAGCCTGGCCAACATGGTGAAACCCCGTCTCTACTAAAAATACAAAAATTAGCCAGGCATGGTGGCGTGCGCCTGTAATCCCAGCTACTTGGGAGGCTGAGGCAGGAGAATCACTTGAACTCGGGAGGCGGAGGTTGCAGTGAGCCGAGAATGCGCCATTGCACTCCAGCCTGGGCAACAAGAGTGAAACTTTATCTCAAAATTAAAAAAAAAAAAAAAAAGAAGCTTGTAAGGGAAAAAGTGAAAATTCAGCACATATCCCCAATCCCTAGAGGTAACCATGATTATCATGTAATCAAAAATATATCCTGCATATATGAAATAGAATCACATCATGAATGGCATTTTTGCAACTTGCCTTTTTTTTTGAATGTGGAGACAGGGTCTTGCTATGTTGCCCAGACTGGTCTGGAACTTCTGGCCTCAAGTGATCCTCCCACCTTGGCCTCCCAAAGTGCTGGGAGCCACTGCACCCCGTCACACCTTGCTTTTTTTTTAAGGTTAACAATCTGTGTGGGGGATCTTTCATTCTGTATGTATAGAATTACTTAATTCTTTTTCCTGGCTTGCAGTATGAAATCATAGTATGGCTGTACTGTAATTTAATGAACCAGTCTACTATTGATGGACTTATAAATTGTACAGTTTCTGTAAGGTTCTTGACTATTCCGTGCTGGTGGATTTCAACTGTGATTCCCGCACTTTGTTCCCTTCCCTCTGCAGCACTGTGTTTACTGAAATTTGAACACAGTGTCCCTCTAGTTAGGATAAACCAGGAGACAACTTCTCTGTCTGCTATTATCATCTCTTGTCTGGAATACCTTCTGCATAATCTTGATAGTAGAGCTTATCAAGGCAACTTTGGGCCAAATATTTATGGCTTGGGTTTATCTGAAATCCAAATAATGGCGAAACACGTCTTCCAGATAGAAGAGGTGCCTGTTTCTGTCCTTTGGGGATTGTTTTCCAGAGAGATGTTATAGGATACTTTACATTTTTGTGGTTTTAAGATAAAACTGCCTCAATCCAGTAAATAATGGAAGGGAAAGAACACGATCACAGTGAAGGATTTTGAAAGTCTGGGCTCATCACCAGTAAAGAAATCCAAGTCAGTTACAGCTTCCAAAACTTATTAACACTTCAAGGAAGTGAAGATAACTTTATCAGATTTGCTCTTTGTGTTCAAGCTCCAGTTAAGATCTTGAAATAAGCAGACTGTCCAAATGTTCTGATGTTCCTCGGAATTACCTGGCTCTCTTAGTCCTGGAGCCTTCCAGTCCCTAATAGCACTGATTTAATCCCACAAGGGGTTTTGGTATCCCACCTATATCCCAAATATTTGAACTCTGAAGTCCAAATTGGCTTTTATCACGTTTTACGGACAGAACAGCTTCACAGATTGCACTTAACACAAACATATTCCAGATGTCATCCACACCCTGGCTGAAGGAGCTGTATTATCACCCTGTGTGGAGCAGAGTAGAATTTCCTGAGAGGAGGAGACGAGATACTGAGGTCTGTTTTTTGTTCCCAGAGCTTCTCTCTCTTTTTTCCCCGGTCACAGAGTGCCTTTTCCCCCCGGGTCAGCCCGCTCTGGGCTCTAACCACTCAATTCCTCTGGCTTTCCTTTCTACCTCTACTGCCTGACCACTTGTTTGGAGATAAATTATGAAGTATTTTTAAAAAGTCATCCCCCAGACAGATTTTTATTTATTTATTTTTTTGAGACAAGGTCTCACTGTGTTACCCAGGCTGGAGTGCACTGGTGCAATCTTGGCTCACTGTAGCCTCCGCCTCCCGGGCTCAAGCAACCCTCCCACCTCAGCTTCCTGAGTACTGGGAACACAGGTGCCTGCCACCATGCCCAGCTAATTTTTTCTATTTTTGGTAGAGATGGGTTTTCACCATGTTGCCCAGGCTGGTCTCGAACTCCTGAGTTCAAGCCATCCACCCACCTCAGCCTCCCAAAGCGTTGGGATTACAGGCCTAAGCTACCTTGCCCAGCCTCGCCACACAGATTTTTTTTTTTTTTTAAAGAAAAACTGATATTTGTCAATGAAATAAAATTTGCATTCTGGAAATTTCTTGACAAACTTCAGTTAAAGACTGAACATCATTCAAAGTTTCTCCCAGGATTTTCAGCTCAGCATCAGGAAGGTATTGTCTGAATTCATCCTGTTGACTGACATATTAAACTTGGATAATTTGCCTTAAAGTTATCTTGAAAATCTTGCCTTGGCCGGATGCGGTGGCTCGCATCTGTAATCCCAGCACTTTGGGAGGCCGAGGTGGGTGGATCACCTGAGGTCAGGAGTTCGAGACCAGCCTGACCAACATGGAGATACCCTGTCTCTACTAAAAATACAAAATTAGCCGGGCATGGTGGCAAGCGTCTGTAATCCCAGCTACTCAGGAGGCCGAGGCAAGAGAATTGCTTGAACCTGGGAGGCAGAGGTTGTGGTGAGCCGAGATTGCGCCATTGCACTCCAGCCTGGGCAACAAGAGCTAAACTCCCCCCCAAAAAAAAAAAAAAAAAAAAAAAAAAAAAAAAAAAAAAAAGAAAGAAAAAAGAAAATCTTGCCAAGATGAGAGAATGAAGAATTTGTTTTGGTGCAATGTTGGCCAGCATACATGCCCAAGTAGGCTTGCTCAGATGTTTATCAACAGTGACAAATCCAAGACATCCAGTTTGAAGGACATGATAATACGTTTATGCTACTAGAAATGTTTCTGTATCTATTCACACACTTCCAATCTCCCCATATCATTATAACACAACTTTTTGTTACATTGATGTTTAGGGCTTATCTTATTATGACTCTATTAGGATTGTTCACTGCTGAGTTGAGTAATTTTACATTGTTATAGTTCTTTTGCTTGTACAATGTTTTGCTCAATTTGGAATTTAAAATTGCCTCATTATTAGGCCAGGTGTGGTGGCTCATGCCTCTAATCCCAGCACTTCAGGAGGCTGAGGTGGGTGGATCACGAGGTCAGGAGTTCGAGACCAGCCTGGCCAACATGGTGAAACCCCGTCTATACTAAAAATACAAAAAATAGCTGGGCATGGTGGCGGGTGGCTGTAATCCTAGCTACTCAGGAGGCTGAGGCAGGAGAATCTCGCTTGAACCCGGGAGGCAGAGGTTGCAGTGAGCTGAGATCACGCCATTGCACTGCAGCCTGGGCGACAGAGCGAGACTCTGTCTCAAAAAAAGAAAAATTACCTCATTATTATCGTTATTACTATTATTATTATTTGAGATGGAATTTCGCTCTGTTGCCCAGGATCTCTGCTCTGCTTCCCAGGTTCAAGCGATTCTCCTACCTCAGGTGATCCACACACCTCAGCCTCCCAAAGTGCTGGGATTACAGGTGTGAGCCATTGTGCCTGGCCACCTCATTATTTTTGCTAGCGCAGCATTCACTATCACTAAGTCCTCCAAACCAACCAATAAAATCCCTTTGAGTAGTATTTTTCCTCACAATCTGACATACTGGGTATTGGTTTCAATGTTTTTCTTAGATCTGTTTTTTTCCTGTCCTCCTGCTTCTGTCCAGCTGGTGTTGTTTTCAAGGCCTGTTACAAAGCAGTTACCCCGGGACTTCCCTCAGCCTCTTTCCTTGTTTGATTTCATGTTTCCTTTGTCTTCCTCTTTTTTGGTTTACGCCTTTGTTTTGTTGGTGTGTATCCATTAGTAGCTTCCTAAGAAATGGTGCAGGGGAGGTAAATCTTTTGAGTTTTTGCATGATTGACAACTGTTTTCCTGCCCTCTGCTTGTTGTACATTTGGCTGGGTTTGGAATTCTAGCCGATTTATAGTAATTGTCTTTGGCTTTGGCCTCTCTCTTTTACTTTGGAGGCTTTCCTTAAATGCCTGGTGATTCATTGCTCATTTATACTTTCAAGAGGCTTACTCACTTTGAAGATATTTTAGCAGTTTTAAAAATACCACATACGTTAGTGGAGATCTTCAGGGTTTGAAAAAACAGCATTTCTTCTTCCACAATCTCTTAAAGCCTGTATCACAAATAAGTGAGCACTTGAAAATCATTTCATTCTTGGAGGATTCTTCTCCAATAAAGACGGTAAAAACACAATCCTTTGCAAAGTTTGAAATGTGTTATTATCTCCAATATTGTTAATTCAGTGTAGAAAAGACTAAAAAAATTCTAGAATTTTCACCTCAATATTCTTTCCAAATAACATTTCAGCAGTATTTAGAATGCAAAGTTTCTTGAGCATATCTTCAGGTCGTGGGAATGTTTATCCTTTGTGATTAAAAAGTGCAATTTTATTTTAAAAGCCCTGCAGATTAAAAAAAATCAAGTTATTTATTTATTTATTTATTTATTTATTTATTCATTTTTTTTTTGAGGGGGAGTCTTGCCCTGTTGTCCAGTCTGGAGTACAGTGGCACCATCTTGGCTGACTGCAACCTCTGCGTCCTGGGTTCAAGCGATTTCTGGCTAATTTTTGGATTTTTAGTAGGGATGGGGTTTCACCATGTTGGCCAGGCTGGTCTCAAACTCCTGACCTGAAATGATCCACCCACCTTGGCCTTCTAAAATGCTGAACTTACAGGCATGAGCCACCACACCAGGCCAAGATTTTTTTTTAATTTTATTTTAAAAAATATTCCATATTTTCTTCTGGTATTTTATGATTTTATTCTCTACATTTAGATGTTTGATCCATTTGAAATTTATTTTGGTGTAGAGAAAGAGGTGCAGATTCAAATTGAGTTTTGTATTTCATTGTTTGTTTGTTTTTTCCTGATGGCTAGAGCCATCTCATTTAGAGTTGACCCAATCTCATTTAGTGAACTACTATCTTTATAGTAACACATTCCCGAGTATATTCGTGTCTATTTTGGGATTCTCTATTCTGGTATCTGTCTATTCATGTGCAGGAACCAAACTGTTTTAATTATTGTCCTCATTACTCTTCTTTCTTCAGAGTTTTCCAGGCTATATTTAATATTTATTTCCCATAAGAATTTTAGAATCAATTTGTTTAGTTCCAAAAATAGTCTCATTCCTATTTTTATAGGAATAGAGATTTGGTTAAATTTATAGGTTAACTTTAGAAGAATATCTTTATGATTTTGAGTCTTTCCAAGAATAGTTGTGGGGTGTGTGTGTGTGTGTGTGTGTGTGTGCGTGTTTTGAGACTGAGTCTTGTTCTGTCATGCAGGCTGGAGTGCAGTGACACGATCTCAGCTCACTGCAGCTAGGACCTCCCAGGCTTATTGATCCTCTTCCGCCTCAGCCCCCCAAGTAGCTGAAACTACAGGTGTGAACCACCGGGCCTGGCCAACAGTGTTTTTTCTTTCAATTTATTTAAGTCCTGCCTTTTCCCCTTAAGTCATTTTACACACACACACACACACACACACACACACACACAATTTCTGATTAATTTTTGGTATTTTATTTTTGTTGTTTTAATTGTTATTGTCTCTTTTTCTTGATGATAATATCTACCTAGTCACAATTTTTGTATTGAGAACTTTGATTTTTATAAATTAATTTTGTACCTAGCAACTTTTACAAATATGTTTAAAATCATTTTTTCCTTTAAAAACATTTTTATTATGAAACTTGTCATAGACAGAGATATACGTAAAACTTGTATGTTCAGGCCGCGCGCGGTGGCTCACGCCTGTAATCCCAGCACTTTGGGAGGCCGAGGCGGGCGGATCACGAGGTCAGGAGATCGAGACCATCCTGGCTAACATGGTGAAACCCTGTCTCTACTAAAAATACAAAAAATTAGCGGGGCGTGGTGGCGGGCGCCTGTAGTCCCAGCTACTCAGGAGGCTGAGGCAGGAGAATGGCGTGAACCTGGGAGGCAGAGCTTGCAGTGAGCTGAGATTGCGCCACTGCACTCCAGCCTGGGTGACAGAGCAAGACTCCGTCTCAAAAAAGAAAAAAAATTGTATGTTCAGTTTAACTAACAAATCATTATAAAATAACAAAATAAAACACCCTTGCAAACTACTGCCCAAGTCAAGGATTGCCAGGAGTCCTAGAGCCTCTCCCACATGCCCACTGAATAATTATTTTTCAGGTGAATTGTTGTTAGCACTTAAAATTCAGGAGATTTTACATGAAAAACCAATTTCTGGCCTCTCTTGAAAAATCAGAAAATGCATCCACACTGGGCCCACATTTCCAGATGGCAACAATTGCCTGGAGCGTGGAGCATGGCTTTCTTCGCGGGAGCATGTCCTCTTCAGCTCAACTTTAAGGCCAAGCGTCAGTTGCCATTTATCATCACACTTGAGCCACACTTGCCTTGGAGGTAGGTGTCTGAATTTCTGAACTTTGCTTTAGCATATTAAAAACAGAAGGAGGTTGGATGTCGGAAAGTAAGGCCGAGGAAGGATGCATGGTTCTGGTGTAGGCGGTGGGATAGTACCCTTCCCTGAGGCAGGAGCGCCAAGTTTGCAGAGAAGATGATGTGCTTGTTTCTAGACACATTGAGTTTGAGGTGCTTGTGCACGAGCAAGCAGGGCAGAGCTATCTAGTAGACAGTTGCACAACGAAGCCCAGAGCTCAGGTTAGCTGTGCAGGTTTGGGGATCATCAGCTTTCGGAAGGCAGCCGAAGCCATGGGAGTGGAAGAGATGACCAAGGGGGAGTGGGCTGGATGTGAAGAACCTCGGGGAGTCCGCATTGAAGGGAGCTGCAAGGAAAGCAGATTCTTTACTGTATCCCCAGCGCCTAGCTGAATGATATTTACATGGGACACTGGAGAGAGGAGGATACTCCTACTGAAAGGAAGGGCAGAAAAGAGGACCGTGGTCCAGAAGCTAGGGAAAAGAGTGCGTTTGAAGAAAGTGGGGTGTAGTCTACCATGTTAAAACCTACAGGCTTGCTGGGTGCTGTGGCTCACGCCTGTAACCCCAGCCCTTTGGGAGGCCAAGGTGGGCGGATCACCTGAGGTCAGGAGTTCGAGACCAGCCTGGCCAACATGACGAAACCCTGTCTCTACTAAAAATACAAAAATAAGCTGGGCATGGTGGTGCGCACCTATAGTCCCAGCTACTCGGAAGGCTGAGGCAGGAGAATCACTTAAACCGGGGAGGCAGAGGTTGCAGTGAGCCGAGATCGCACCACTGCACTCCAGCCTGGGCGACGGAGCAAGACTCCATCTCAAAAACAAACAAGCAGAAAAACCTACCGGCAGATCAAGGAGGATAAGGCCTGGGAAGCATCCATGGGGTGGAGTGCTAGGGGATGCTTGGTGAGTGTGATGAGGGCATTTGATGGGTGGAGTGGGAGCCAGGTCTCAGGGATGAGGAGGGAATGGGAAGAAAAGAGTGACGGGGATCTGTGGACGACATTCTTTAAAGCAGGCAGGCCGTGAAGGGGAGGACAGGATATGGCACCTGAAGAAGGACAGGAGTTGAAGGGGCGCTGTTTTTTATCCTTTTAATATTGTAGAAACTTGGCCAAACTTAAATGATGGGAAGGAACTAGTAGATTGAAGGTATAGGAGAGCTGGAAGAGGGCATCTGAAAGGGAAAGGAAGTTATACTAGAATAGGCAGCCCAGGCTTCCGGTTCTAGGTGCTTCAGGAGCCGTGGCTTAAGGTGCAGACATGGCCAAGTCCACACCATACACCACCAGTCCCGAAAATGGCACAGAAATGGTATCAAGAAACCGCGATCACAAAGATACAAATCTCTTAAGGGGGTGGACTCCAAGTTCCTGAGGAACATGCGCTTTGCCAAGAAGCACAAAAGAAGGGCCTAAAGAAGATGCACACCAACAATGCCAAGGCCATGAGTCCACGTGCCGAGGCTCTCAAGGCCCTCGTAAAGCCCAAGGAGGTTAAGCCCAAGATCCCAAAGGGTGTCAGCCATAAACTTGATCGACTTGCCTACATTGCCCACCCCAACCTTGGGAAGCTTGCTCGTGCCCGCATGGCCAAGGGGCTCAGGCTGTGCCGGCCCAAGGCCAAGGCCAAGGATCAAACCAAGGCCCAGGCTGCAGCTCCAGCTTCAGTTTCAGCTCAGGCTCCCAAAGCTGCCCAGTGCCCTACAAAGACTTCAGAGTAGATATCTCTGTCTGCCAACGTGAGGACAGAAGGACAGGTGCCACCCACCCCGGGCTGCCGTCTGCATGGGGCTGGGGTCCTCCTGCGCTATTGGTACAAATAAGCCTGAGGCAGAAAAAAAAAAAAAAAGAATAGGCAGCCCAGGAAGAAGGGTTAGCCTTGGGTGGGAGGAGGGACTGTCCTATCATAAATGGGAGAAATTGTAGCGTGGAAACAGGTAAGTGCATACGTTTTACAGCTGGAAGTGGATGGAATTCTCACCTGATGGCCTTTTATTTCTGTGATATAGGAGGTGAGGCTTTCTGCAGAGAGGGCAACAGGGCAACAGGAAGACCAGGTTTGAGAAGAGTGGAAAGGATTTGCAGGTAGTGACTTGTGAGAACAGGAGGGAGGGCAGGTTAGGGAACAGGGATGCAGCCTGGAGAACCCAGGTGGGACAGGCTGAGTCACGGTGGTGCCAAGCTGTGTGGTCATGTGACCTTCTCCAGCCTTTCCCACAATGACCTTCTCCAGCCTTTCCCACAGGGGCTCGAGGGGAGGACAGTCGGATTTAGCCAGCACTGGCGTTTTGTCAGGAGGTTTAGACTAAAGAATGAGACAAAGTGAGTGAGGATTGGCGAGAGAGTGGCTAAAATAAAGGATACCAAGGTCTGTGGAGGAGGAAGTGAAGTAGGGAGGGGGTTAACAGGAAGAAAAACCAGGGGTCAGTGGTCTGAAAAATAAGCAGGTTGGGAGAACTTGAGGACCAATGCTGGGATGCAGGGGAGGAAGCTGGGCCCCGGGAGCAGGAGGTCTGAGTGGGTTTTCTCAGACGTGGAGCGGTTGTGAACAGCAAGCTTCAGGGCGTGGCATGGGAGTGGCAGCTGGAACAGGAAGGAGGAGGCCACTGGATATGAGGTGGCAAAGGACACTTAAGATGAAGGCTTCATATGCAATTTAAAATTGCCTGGTATCTCTTTTTTTTTTTTTGAGACAGTGTCTCTGTTGCCTAGGCTGGAGTGCAATGGCACAATCTTGGCTAACTGCAACCTCCACCTCCCAGGTTCAAGCGATTCTCCTGCCTCAGCCTCCTGACTGATATCTCATTTAATAAAGAAAAAAAGGCCAGGAGTGGTGGCTCATGCCTGTAATCCCAGCACTTTGGGTGCTGGGTGAGGTGGGTGGATCACCTGAGGTCAGGAGTTTGAGACCAGCCTGGCCAACGTGGCAAAACCCCACCTCTACTAAAGATACAAAAATTAGCTGGGTGTGGTGGTGGGCACCTATAATCCCAGCTACTCGGGAGGCTGAGGTGGGATAATTGCTTGAACCCAGGACGTAGAGGTGGCAGTGAGCTGAGATTGCGCCACTGCACTCCAGCCTGGGTGACAGAGTGGGACTCCATCTAAAAAAAATTTGAAAAAAAGAAACAAGTGAATTAACTAATTAATTTATTTATTTTGAGACAGAATCTAGCTCTGTCACCCAGGCTGGAGGGCAGTGGTGCGATCTTGGCTCACTGCAACCTCCACCTCCCGGGCTCAAGCAATCCTCCCAGCTTAGCCTCCAGAGTAGCTGGGACTATAGGCTCACACTACCATGCCTGGCTAATTTTTGATTTTTTGTAGAGATGGGGGTCTCACTATGTTGCCCAGGCTGGTCTCAAACTCCTGAGCTCAAGCGATCACCTACCTCAGCCTCCCAAAGTGCTAGGATTAGGTGTGAGCCACTGTGCCTGGCCCCAGTGAAATTCATTTTAATACTTGATCCAACATTCCCCAAATATCATTCCAACATCAATCAATATAAAAATTATTAATGGGATATTTTCTATTATTTCTATCTATTTATAATGATTATTGTTTTAGAGACAGGGTCTTGCTCTGTGGAGTGCAGTGGTGCGATCTCAGCTCACTGCAACTTCTGCCTCCCAGGCTTAAGCGATTCTTGTGCCTCATTCTCCTGAGTAGCTGGGATTACAGGCGCACGCCACTGCGCCCGGCTAATTTTTGTATTTTTTGTAGAGATGGGATTCCCCCGTGTTGGCCAGACTGGTCTCAAACTCCTGAGCTCAAGTGATCCGCCTGCCTCGGCCCCACAAAGTGCTGGGATTACAGGCGTGAGCCACCATACCAGGCCTCTGCTTCATTTCTCATCTCGACATTTCCCTGTGCTTCCCAGCCTCTCCACCTGTTCGATTGTTGCTCTAGTTTATCCCCTCGTGCGGTCCCCTCACTGCCTGGCTGCTCTCTCTCAAAGGTCCCTTCTGATTCTCTTTGCGGAAATTGACTACTGGGAGCGGCTGCTGTTTGAGACGCCCCATTACGTGGTGAACGTAGCTGAGCGAGCCGAGGACCTGCGCATTCTGCGTGAAAATCTGCTACTCGTTGCTAGAGACTACAATAGGTAGGGCTTCAGTCCTCACTGCAGCCCTTCAAGATGCTATTTTATTCCTTCTTTTTCTCTTATCTGCCCTGTAATGTTGTTCATTTTCTACAATTTCTGTCCTCTACATCTTTTCCATCTCAAAAAAAAAAAATTGTCTCCCACTCTTACGGCCCTATCATTATTCCTACCCCTTGTAGTTTTATTTTCTAGCTGCAGGGTGGAGAGTAAAGCCAACCAGGTCCCCTCCCACCCCACTGGTCACTTGTACCATATATATTGTAGCTCTGGGCCAGTTCTCTAGGAATGAGACGGGCTGGCATTAGGATTATGTGCACAGAATAACATCAGACTCATTGAACTAAGGCCCTGCTGCCCCCATCCCTGCCTCAGTTTCTGGACTGCCTTGGTATTCTCTCTGGAGTGAGGCTTTGTTCTGGGTTAGGTACTGTCTTAGTCTGTTTGGGCTTCTATAACAAAATGCCATAGACCGGGTGGCTTATAAACAACAAACATTTATTTCTCACAGTTCTGGGGGCTGGTGAGTCCAAGAGCAAGGCACCAGCAGATTTGGTGTCTGGTGAGGGCCTGCGTCCTGGTTCATAGGTGGCTATCTTCTTGCTCTGTCCTCACATAGTGGAAGGAGACAAGGGAGCTCTCTTAGGCCTCTTTTATGAAGCCACTAATTCCATTCATGAGGGCTCCACCTTCATGACCTAATCACCTCCCAGAGGTCCTAACACCATCACTGTGGGAGTGGGGATTTTAACATATAAATTTGGTGGGGACACACACATTCAGACGATAGCAGGAAATTTCTCAGCCCAGTTAAAGTCCAAGGAGGTGCAACCAGCAGTCTTGTTTGGGTGTCTAGAACTGCAGTGTCCAACATGGTGGCCTCCAGCTGCATGTGGCTATTTCCATGTAAATTAAGTAAATAAACTTAAAAATTTGATTACTCATTGGTACAGGCCACATTTCAAATGCTCCATAGCCAAATGTGATGAGTGGGTGCTATATTGGACAGCACACATCGCATTAAGTTGGTGCAAAGTGATTGCAGTTGTTGCCATTACTTAAATGGCAATCACTTTTGCACCAACCTAAGAGAACACTTCCATCATTGCAAAAAGTTCTTTTGGAAGTACTAGTCTAGAATCTAGTCTAGAATCTAGACTAGTGGTCTAGAAATGTTCACATTTCTCCACTGTTTCCTGAAGTGGAGGAAAGATCTTCAGGGCTTGTCCCCTCTGGATACCAGGCCTCTCTTATGCACAGGATTATTGCCATGCTGTCCCCAGATGAGCAGGCCCTATTCAAAGAGCGTATTCGGCTCCTGGATAAGAAGATCCACCCGGGACTCAAGAAACTGCACTGGGCCTTGAAGGGGGCCAGTGCCTTCTTCATCACGGAGTGCCGTATACATGCCAGCAAGGTGGGCCATGGTCCTTAGACCCTAAAGGTCTGCAAGGCTGATGGGTCATTTATACCTGAGTGTTGCATAGAGATTGGGAAACCTGGGGGTAGTGTAAAAAGAATTAAGTTTGCTTGGGGAAGGACTTTTTTGTGTGTCATCCAGTCTAGCTGGAGAACAAGTGGGAGGGTAGAATGAGGTCCAGATGGTCTCTTCCCGAGCTGAAACTCCCCCATGACGGGGCCTGACTCTAGGTGCAGATGATTGTGAATGAGTTCAAGGCATCCACTCTGACCATTGGCTGGCGAGCCCAAGAGATGTCAGAGAAGCTGCTGGTACGCATTAGTGGCAAACGGGTATACAGGGACCTGGAATTTGAAGAGGACCAAAGAGAGCATCGGGCAGCTGTACAGCAGAAATTGATGAACCTGCACCAGGATGTGGTGACCATCATGACCAACTCCTATGAGGTCTTCAAGAATGATGGTCCTGAGGTAGGGTTCCTGTGGCCAGGATGTTGTGGTTGGAAAAACCACAGTCCCCCAGTTCCATCAGGCCATTCTCTTGCTCCCCGACCCTTTTTTCTTTTTTACCAGTGTGTACTTCTCAAACATCGTGCTCTAGTCTTGGACTCAGCCAACCTTCAGTCCTCACACCTCTTCCTCCAGGACTCAGCGTCCTGCGTTTCCATTAAACCAACTTGTTTCCTTCCCTGTTGGCTGGTTCTCACTTCCCAGGATGTGCCCTGTCTTCCCTGAAAAGTTCTCTTTTTCCTCCCTCCATCCCATCAGATTCAGCAGCAGTGGATGCTGTACATGATTCGGCTGGACCGCATGATGGAGGATGCCCTGCGCCTGAATGTGAAGTGGTCACTGCTAGAACTATCCAAGGCTATCAACGGGGATGGAAAGACCAGCCCAAACCCACTCTTCCAAGTCCTTGTCATTTTGAAGAATGATCTGCAAGGAAGTGTGGCACAGGTAAGAACCACTTTGCCCCCAACATCTCAAAACCATTGCATCTTATTTGTCAGTTTCCCTTAATTCCTAAACTTGGTCCTTGGCCTTGACTTTATCCTATGGCCTTCAGACCTGCTGCTGAAGTGTGTGACCTTCCCAGTCCTAAGGCTTTTCTCTCCATCTCCACTGGGTTCCTCACAGGTGGAATTCTCACCCACTCTGCAGACTTTGGCAGGTGTGGTCAATGACATTGGCAACCACCTCTTTTCCACCATCTCTGTCTTCTGCCACCTCCCTGACATTCTCACCAAGCGCAAGTTACATCGTGAACCCATCCAAACAGTTGTGGGTGAGTGGGCAACGGGGAGGGCACAAGGCACAGGGTTTCAGAGGCTGTCGAGTGGGCCAGGCCAGGAGGAGAGACCAGGGCTATTTCCAGGCATACTGGGCCAGTCACCTCCCTGACCTGGGGAAAACTCAGGTCAAGGGGCCAGATCGGCTGGCACAGTGGCTTGTGCCTGTAATCCCAGCACTTTGGGAGGCTGAGGCAGGCAGGTCATTTGAGGTCAGGAGTTCGAGACTAGCCTGGCCAACATGGCAAAACCCCATCTCTACTAAAAATCCAAAAATTAGCCAGGCATGGTGGCGGGTGCCTATAATCCCAACTACTCAGGAGGCTGAGGCAAAGAATCACCCCGGAGGCGGAGGTTGCAGTGAGCGGAGATCATGCCACTGCATTCCAGCCTGGGTGACAGAGTGAGACTCCATCTAAAAAAAAAAACAAAAACAGGGGGGCCAGACTGGGGAAGGGAGCAGGGGCTTGGATGGGGGTTGAGATTAGGTGACTGATGCTCATGGGTTTTGGGATTTGGGATGGGAGATGAGGAAAGACAAGCTTGGGACTGGGACTGGGACTGGCCTGTAAGAGGCCTAGATACCAACAGACAAGACATCACATCCTATGAAGGAGACACTAAGAGTCACATTTTCACTTTCTGCCTACTCCTTTACCTTCTAATGTGCATGTTTGAGCTGTATTTCTCTGGGAAGCTGGTTTTAGAGTGGAAGGTCTGGAGCAGTGGGCAGGGCTCAGGCAGAAGTTGGGTTGGGGTGGAAGTCAGTGAGAAGCATCTTTCTTGGTCCTTTGAAGAGCAAGATGAGGACATCAAGAAGATCCAGACCCAAATCAGCAGCGGCATGACTAACAACGCAAGCCTGCTGCAGAACTACCTCAAGACCTGGGACATGTACCGGGAGATCTGGGAGATCAACAAGGACTCCTTCATTCATCGCTACCAGCGCCTCAACCCTCCTGTCTCTTCTTTTGTTGCCGACATTGCCCGGTGAGTGGTGAGGGTGGATTGAAAGTCTGTCTGTAGGAGGCACAGCACTGCAGGAGGAGCCCAGGCCTAGAGTCTTGGGAAGTGGGTAGGGGAGCTGAGGATGACATGTGTCCTCAATGACAGGAAAAGAACAGGACCTAGGACATTGGACCTTTGCTTCTCAAGGGGTAGAGATCAGGGAAGAGCTGGACAGGATTTAGGTGAAAAGCAGTTGTCTAGGGGAGGATGGCAGGGCCTGGTGAGAAAGAAGAAGTTCCAGAGATCTGGAAGATGAAAGAAGTGAGCCCTTTGATTCTAAGAAGGCAGATGGGAGTTAAATAGAAGATTATTTTGTTTGTTTTATTTTGTTTGAGACAGGATCTTGCTCTGTCATTGCCTAGGCTGGAGTGCAGTGGTGTGGTCATAGCTCACTGCGGCCTGGACCTCCTGGGCTCAAGCGATCCTCCTGGCTAACGCTCCTGAGTAGCTGGGACCACAGGCACATGCCACCATGCTTGAATAATTTTCTTTTTTTTAAAATTTTTTGTAGAGATTCTATGTTGCCCACTCAGGAAGAAAATCTTTTTTTTTTTTTCAAATATTTTTTTTTGAGACAGAGTCTCACTCTGTCATCCACGCTGGAGTGCAGTGCAACCTCTGCCTCCCGGGTTCAAGCAATTCTCCTGCCTCAGCCTCCCGAGTAGCTGGGATTACAGGCATTCACCACCACGCCTGGCTAATTTTTGTATTTTTAGTAGAGACAGGGTTTCACCATGTTGGCCAGGCTGGTCTCAAACTCCTGACCTCAAGTCATCCACCCACCTTAGCCTCCCTCAGTGCTGGGATTATAGGCGTAAGCCATTATGCCTGGCCTAGAAGAAGATCTTAATTTCTGATCTTAACTCACATCTTTTTATGGGCCTCTGGTCATTCATTCATTCATTCTGTAAACATTCATTCCATAAACATTCATTGTATGGGCCATGAGGAGTTAAGAAAAAAAAAAAAAAGAAATGAGCAAGTTCTTTCCTCCTGAGGGCTCTAGAGTAGTAAGGAAGATAAAAGTATCGCTGAAAGAGTGGTGGCCGTGGTGTCACGAGAAGACTTGGAATCGCAGCTGTGCCACTTAGTAGCTGTGTGACTTTAGGCAGGTTTTCTGTATTCTCTGGGCCTCAGTTTTCTATGAAACAGATATTACACTACCTACCTTGGAACCTTGTGAAATGATTAAAGATACATGAAGGCACTTTGTAGGCTGAAGCCCTGTGCTCGTGTACTGTGTTATTACACAGCTGCACTGTGGTAAATACTGTGATGAAGGGATATCACACGCCAGGGCAGTTCAATGGAAGGACAGAGGATTTCCAGCTGGGGATTTTAGGGAAGGCTTCCTGGAGGAAGGGACTTTGCGTAGGATTTCTTTTTTTTTTTTTTTTTTTTTTGAGACGGAGTCTCACTCTGTCGCCCATGCTGGAGTGCAATGGCGCCATCTCTGCTCACCGCAAGCTCCGCCTCCCGGATTCATGCCATTCTCCTGCCTCAGCCTCCCGAGTAGCTGGGACTACGGGTGCCCGCCACCACGCCCAGCTAATTTTTGTATTTTTAGTAGAGATGGGGTTTCATCGTGTTAGCCAGGATGGTCTCAATCTCCTGACCTCATGATCCACCTGCCTTGGCCTCCCAAAGTGCTGGGATTACGGGCCTGAGCCACCAAGCCCGGCCGACTTTGCATAGGATTTCAACAGGCAGAGATGGGCAGTGGGGAAGGCATTCCATGTGGAGGAAATAGCATGAGCAAAGGCATAAAGATGTGAGTCCATGAGCACGTTCACCCCACAGAGTGAGATCTGCAACATAGGCACAGGAAAGGAAGAACACAAAGGGGCGCTGTAGCAGCCAAGTGAATTCTCCCAACCACCTTGTGAGGCAGGCTCTGTTACTGTCACTGTATTACAGATGAGGAAACCGAGACTCAAACAGTTAAAAAAAAAAAAAAAACCTGCCTGAGGTCATAGAACTAGGAAGCAGCACAGGGCAAATTCAACCCAGATCTGTGCCACTCTAAAGCTTTTTTTTTTTATTGAGACAGAGTCTCACCCTGTCACCCAGGCTGGAGTGCAGTGGCGCCATCTTGGCTCACTGCAGCCTCCGCCTCCCGGGTTCAAGTGATTCTTCTGCCTCAGCCTCCCCAGTAGCTGGGATTACAGGTGCCCGCCACCACACCCAGCTAATTTTTGTATATTTATTTATTTATTTATTCTTTTTGAGACAGAGTCTTGCTCTGTCGCCCAGGCTGGAGTGCAGTGGCGCGATCTCGGCTTACTGCAAGCTCCGCCTCCCAGTTTCAAGCCATTCTCCTGCCTCAGCCTCCCAAGTAGCTGGGACTACAGGCGCCTGCCACCGCACTTGGCTAATTTTTTGTATTTTTAGTAGAGATGGGGTTTCACCGTGGTCTCGATCTCCTGACCTCGTGATCTGCCGGCCTCGGCCTCCCAAAGTGCTAGGATTACAGGCGTGAGCCACTGTGCCTGGCCAATTTTTGTATTTTTAGTAGAGATAAGGTTTCACCATGTTGGCTAGGCTGGTCTTGAACTCCTGACCTCGTGATTCACCTGCCTCGGCCTCCCAAAGTGCTGGGATTACAGGCGTGAGCCATCGCACCCTGCCTCACTCTAGAGCTTTGAATGCCAGAATAAGAAGTTTGACTGCTATCTTATAGCCAGTGACTGGGAAAATGACAGTCAGTCACAGCTGCATGGCTGGGGCAGATTGGAATGAGGGATGCCTGGGAGTAGAAGAACACTCTAGAACTGCTGCCCAGGTTTGGGTGGAAGGAAATGAGACCTGCAGCCCGTGTGGGGACAGAGGGTATGTCTGCAAAGAAAACAACATCCTAGCTGGGATCTGGGGCTCTTGCAGCTACACGG